>NT_167245.2:809165-983535 GCF_000001405.40 Homo sapiens | reverse complement strand
TTAAAGTCAATTGATTTAGGACCTTAATTATATATGCAAAAATCCCTTCAAGGCAGGACTTACATTATTGTTGGTTGAATAACTGGGGTCAGGTGAATGACCAAGGTTACACGTCTATCATGGGGGGGATGATAGAATCAGCCTAGCAAGGCTTGGGTCTTTCTTTTGAGTTTAATTGGGACACAGGTGGAAATTGAAGTTCAAATAAAGCAATAATTGTGAATGATAATAAAATACATCCTATTTAGCCATGGAAATTCCTCTTACCTCTTAAAACCAAATGACATGTTTAATATTTTATAATTAATTTAGGTTGGGTGTGGTGGTGGCTCATGCCTGTAATCCCAGCACTTTTGGAGGTGGAGTCAGGCAGAGAGCTTGATTTCATGAGTTCGAGATCAGCCTAGGCAGCATGGCAAAACCCTTGTCTCTACCAAAAATACAAAAATTTTAGCCAGGCATGGTGGTGCATGTCTGTACTCCCAGCTACTCAGACAGCTGAGGTGGGAAGATCACATGAGCCTAGGAGGTCGAGGCTGCAGTGAGCTGTCCTCCTGCCACAGCACTGCAGCCTGAGTGACAGAGCAAGACCCTGTCTCAATAATAATGATGATAACAATAACACTAATAAATTTAGAGCAAATGAAAATTAAAGTGCAACTATTCATCCTCTCTTGTGAAGCTGTATTTTTTTTTACTGTTACATTACAAATTACTGAAAATGTAACAGCTCAAAGCAACAAATATTTATCATCTCCCACAGTTTCCAATGCTCAGGAATCCAGGAGAGGTTTCCCTGAGTGTTTCTGGCTCAGGGCCTCTCACAAGGTTGCAGTCCAGTTGTCAGCCAGGGCTGCATCATCTGAGGGCTCAACTGGGCTGGGGATTTGCATGAAAAATGGCTCACTCACATGGCTATTGGAAAAGGCCTCAGTTCCTTGTTGTCTGGTCCCGGGAGGCCTCGGTCCTAGCCACATGGACCTTTCCACAGGTCTGCTTATGACACAGCAGCTGGCTTCCCCCAGAGTTCATGATCCCAGAGACAGAGAGAGCAAAGGTAGAAGCTACGGTAAGTTTTTTGTTCTACACCAACAGTCACTCCATCAGATAGAAGTGAATCATTAAGTCCAGGCCACACTCACAGGGAGGGAATGAACCTGCACCTCTGCAAAGTGGAGAGTATCAAAGAATTTGCATATATGTTAAAAGCAAAATTAAAATTATTGTTTCAGAATTTTATAAATCCAAAGCTGCTTTCATCTGATTATAATTCTTTAATGCTTTAAACTTCTCTTTTTAAAGTAATGATTAAAATTTGAGACATCACAGAGCCTTGGGTATTGAGGGGAAAAAAGTTTGAGACAGAGAAAGGAGATACTATAGTATCTCTAAGTTTTTCTTGCAAATACCTTTAATAACAATATTCTCTTTAATGAGTTGCAACACAGCTGAGAACTTACAGTAACTAGATCAAATAGTTCCAAGACTTCAGTGCCATAACAATAGTGCCTTAAAAATAAGTATTTGTTTTGCCTAAGATGTCTCAAATTTAGTTTAAGAATGTCCCAAATGCCAATTTTCTCATTCAAATATCATCTTTAAAAATATTTGCCAAATCAGATTGCTTTTAAGGTAGAAAAAATGTGAATCTCATACCTCAGCCAACACATCTAGCTTAGCATAATGTCAGTAACTTTGGTTGGATACAGTAGCCCAAAATGCTTAGCTCCAACTTAGGAACAAGATTTTCCAAAAACTGGCTACTGGGTGGGCATTCCATAATAAACTTGACATCTTTCGCTCTGGTTTTTAATGAGACGTGGTAGACATGATTTGGACATCACTATGATTCTAAATAGCACTGCTATTCTGTACTTCTACAGTATTTTTTAAGCAATCCTATTGTGTTTTCCATTCCTATTTGCTATTCTATCACTGGTTATTCCTATATAATTTTTTCCTGTTTAATTTATTTTGATCAGTAATGTGCATTTCCAATTCTGTAAAAGTTTAATTCAGGTGTGTGTGTGGTAGAATGTAACATCGAATCCTTTGCAAGATGGAATTACCTTGCACATCAGACCAAACATTGTACACCAAAAATCTATGGAGATGTCAATGAGCCAAGGATCAAATGACCTATTTCTGGTCAAGGCCACTTTCATAGCATTCTGGCTCTCTCCATCACATGGATCATTACAATTGGCTTTGGTCCAATGTGAATAGTTCTTGGTAAGAATTATTGTAATGGCAAAAACTGCAATTATTTTTGCATCAGCCTGTAAGAGTTCAAAGTCACTGTCTTGGCCGCAGAATTACACCAGGCACTTTTTACTCAGACTCTGTTAATAACTTCCTGTTCTTTACTTGTATCCCATACACTGTGGCATTAAACTTTTAACATACAGATTCAGAAAATGCTTCCTTATATCATAACCACATAGGGTTATTTTATATGTTAGGAATATTTCATGAGAAGTAGGAAAAAATGGTGGGAAGGAAAAGAAAAATCAAGAAGAGAATAGGTGGAGAGAAACGGGAAACATTATGTATGGATAATATTATAAAAATAGAAGGAAATAAATCAGATGTAGATAACCACTATGGAATAATCGAAACATAAGAGAGGTTTATTAGCTATCTGTTGCTGTGTAACAAACTACCCCAAGACTTAGTGACTTAAAACAGTGAACATCAATTTACTCAAAGAAAACAACACAAATACTAGCAAAACTGGGGCAGGTGGAAGAAGTTGGATAAAAAAAAGGATTTTACAAACTGGAAAAGTAAGAGGTCACTGGTGTGTAAATGGAAATGATTTTGTTGGTCCATGTTCTCCAAGAAGCAGATGACATGAGATTAAAGTTGCAGTATTTTATTAGAGGACTCACCTGCCAGAAAATATGGGAAAAGATCCAGGAAACCTTGGGAGAGACAGCAGACTGAGATGCAAGCGTGATCCCCAAGTGAGGGACAGGAGAGGAGGTTTGTTGGACACATCCTAGACCATAGGCAATCTAAGGAGAGTTGAGCAAGGCCATAGAGGAGTCCTCTCGTCACAGTTGGCCCTTGTCTTCCAGACATGGGCCTCCCTTAGTGTCCCTCTTGTCACCCATCACTGGTTGGGAACAGCCCATGGAAAGCAGGGTGCCTGCACCAATGCTGCTGAGGATGTCAGAGCACAGGAGCAGGGCCTTGGGAGATTATCTGGGAGCATGGTTCAAATTTTCCTTCCTGAGGTTTCTGGGCCCTTGGAAATCAAATTCCCTCAGGATTGGTTGCTGGACAATTCCACTAACACTTACAATGGGACAAGGGGAACCAGGAGACCCCTCAAGTGGATCACTGGGTTCCACACACATTCCTCCTGCCCTCATTGTGACAGCAGCCCAACCTCCTCCTGGAGATTAGGATCTATTACCTGTGCCTGGAGAGGAGGGGACTCCTCACTTGCTGGTCTCTGGGCACATACTGTCCAAATCTCTCTGGGGGCAATAGTAATGTGTTCTTCAGTAGGCTCTCATTTGTCCTGATTTAAGAGTACCTTCCTTTAGAATCCAGGACCTTCTACCCTGCAGAGCACAGGTTTGGGAGATGAGAAGTGCAAAATCCCACAGCAGGTGAATCTAAGGAATGAGACATGGAGCCATACCCACTTTCACTCCTTAGTTTCTGGACCCACATGTTCTTCCTACTGAGAACACGGCACTGTAGAGATGTCTCTGATTTAATAAATGCACCATGTCCTGAAAGACAGCACCCACTCCTCAGAGTGCTTCCTCCAGGCTGGCACTGAGTTGTGCCTGTAGAAGACCTGTCCAGCATTCTTAGTGGCTGGCAGACCCTGGGTGGTGCAGATGGTGATAGAACCAGTGGATCCCATGGCCATGAAAATGCTGCACCTGCTTCCCTGTCAAGTGGGTTCCGCCAGGAAGACAGTGTGCTAAGAGCAATGCCATGCCTGTGAATCAGGAATGTCAACAGTCCCTGGAGAGTGGTGCTGACTGAGGGTCTGAGAGCAGGACAGGAAAACCCACTCATGGAATGGTGCCTAACCCTGTAAAGATGAACCTCTGGCCCTTCCAGAATGGAAGTGGCTCAACTAATCACTTAGCAGCGAGTGTTGCTTTAGTCACCTAAAGAAATATAGCCCCACTGAGGCATATCATTGGCCTCAAATGCTAATGAGTTGGACATTCAGAGGTGGCAGCAGCTGGATCTGTCTTGGTAGGTGGTAGTCAGTGCTTCTGGACCCATATTTAGCCTCATCCCTGCCACTGTGCTTGCTCCATTCATGAACCCATCCTGCTAGGCCTGGGCTGCCCGATGGTGAGGGCTGGCTAACTTCAATTTGTCTGCTTGGTTGTTTAGTGCCACTTCAGGTTTGGATGTTTTCTGGAGGTGTCAACATAGGATTCATGCTCAATCCAGATGGACCATTTCTATCTCATGATGGATGCTTTGGGGTCTGTCCGATCTATGACTTTCTGAGTTACAGAAGCCAATTCATATGGGCATTTGAAATCACATGGTTGTTTGCTGTCCCATGGCAAGGATTCTATCTTATCAAGGCCAGTAACATACCAAAAGTTGCTTCTAACAGGGGCATATGTCTCTGCTGTGGATGACATGGCCTTACTCCAGAATCCCAGGCCGTCCATGTGACTCCCCCACTGGTGCTTGTTTCAGCTCCATCCTGCATCTTTCCCCAGGACTGACACCTCTAGGTGGGTCTGAGGGATGGCGCTGCCTCATGGCCTGAATCTGCCAGTGTCCTTTCCTCAGCAGGCCTAATTGAAGCAAGTCCCCTCCTATTTCTCCTAGAGTGTAGGTCAAAACAATAGATGTGGGATGTGGTATTGTCAGAACTCAAAGAGGCTCACCAGGCAGTGTGCTTCCTTCCTTGTAGTGAGGATGCAAGATGCAACACTTTGTCTTTTACTGTGGAGGAGAAACTCCTGGATGTCCTCAACCACTGGATGAATAAAACTTCACCACAGTGGCCACTCCTGAATCTCTGTATGGTTTATCTTCCATCTTCTGGAGAGCACGTGTTTTGCCAAGGCCTTCAGCATACTTTCCACCTCCTACTCATCCATCCTAGTCAACATGATGTTGTTGATGAAATAAGCTGGTTTACCATTCTATAGGATGCCAGGTTCTTCAGATCTCTTTTTTTTTTTTTTTTTTTTTTTTTTTTTTTTTGAGACGGAGTCTCGCTCTGTCGTCCAGGCTGGAGTGCAGTGGCGGGATCTCGGCTCACTGCAAGCTCCGCCTCCCGGGTTCACGCCATTCTCCTGCCTCAGCCTCCCAAGTTCTTCAGATCTCTTAAGACTATACTATAGAGGGCAGGTCAGTTACAATAACCCTGAGGCCAATTATCAATAAATGTGTTGTGGATCCCACATGAATCACTTCATGTATAGTTTTTCTCATTGGAATGGAAAGGAATGCACTCACCAAATCCACAGCTGCACACTCTGTGCCTGAGGCCTTATCAATCTGCTCTACCCGTGATATCCAGCCAGCATGGCAGCTGCAATTATGACTCCTACTTTTTCAAGTCTGAAGTAATCTTATTCATTCTTTAGGCCCCATCAGGCTTCCTTGGGGACAGATTGCTGGATTACATGAAGATAATAGGCAACTCCAACAGCACCCCTCATCCTTCAGCTCCCTAATGGCGGTGCTACACCTACAATACCTACAGCACCTTTCATAAGACTCACCCTGGGACTCAATATCATTTTTTATTTGGCCAAGATGAAGTCAGTTGCAGAGGTTTCCCTTTGGCTTTCAGAAAATGACAGCCCTTATTCCAGAGACTTGGGACCCAATGTGGGGGTTACTCCAGCTGCCAGGGCATCAATGCCAATTACACACTTGGAGAATGGGGAGATAAACAGGGCTGGGTCTGTGGACCCAGTAGTCTCTTTGTGATGTGTCCAGATTTATTCCCAGCTTCTGTAAGCCCCACTGTGCTGGGGACATAATGGTGCTGTAGGCCTGTAGGCATCAATATTAGCTCACACCCAATGTCAACACTCCCCCAAATTCTGCCTGTTTCCCTTTCCTAGTGTACAGTCCCCTGAGTAAATGACTGTAGGCTCCTTTGCAGAAAGACAGAGGGAATTGTTCCAGCATATACTTGCCATGAGGTTCCAGGGTCCTTCCTCCTGGGATAGGGACTCCTTCTCTGTAACTGGGATCTGAATCTGAAACTTGGTTGACATTTAGGAATTGAGAATGGGATCATGACTTTGTATTGAGTTAAACACCCTCAGCCCCCTGCTCATCAATTCTTGCTTTCTTATCATAGATGTCAAGCAGTGCCCTTGTTGGCTGCTGTCTTTTCTGACACCACCCTCTATTAACCTTCCCCACAACTCCCTGCAGATCAAGCTGCCTCAGCTGCTCCTCTGAGATTGTCAAGTTAACCGTGCCCTCTGGCTTTTGCAGGCCACTGTCACCATTTAGTTCTCTGCCTTTTCAAGGCCACACTTTCCTCAGGAATATCAATGAGCCCAACTATAGGACCTCCTTCCTGCCATCACACCCAGCCTGCAGAGGACACCACCCCGACGCTTCTTAGCAATGCAAGTCCCTCTCACCAGCACATTCCTGAGGCTCTGGTGGAAGGTGTGCCCTATGGGTCCTCTGTGGAGCATGGCCCTAGTGGGCATTCTGGTTCACATGATGTCTCCATCCCACACACCCACTTCCCTCAGCCTCATTATCCATCCTCTACATGTTCCAGGACAACTAACTCATGTCTAACTTACTGAGAGTTGGACATCATTTTTTCCAGTCTACATGGGTCCACCCCAGCAGTGGGTTTGCCCCATGCCCTGAGGTCCTTGATAAACCCATACCCTGAGAAAGTGCTCCCAAGCCAAAGGTGTTTTTTTTAATTTATCCAGCTTGATTCTGGCCCTTTGATCAAACACCCTTAAATTCCAATCCCAGAACTGCTCCTCAGGCTCCTACGGGGACATAACGGCTGTTACTGCAAAGCTCCTGAGTGGAATTCCCACTGCATCATAGGGGTGAGGTTTCTGCAGCAACTTCCAGTGTAGGAAGTGGGAACCATTACTAGAGAAGGGCGAGCCTCCTCTGCATGCCCAGAGAGTTCTAAAGGGCACCCATAGGATAACCCTGTTCCAGTTTGCAGAATCTTAGGTTTCCGCACCAAGGCCTTGACTTTCCCACAGCAGGTCTGCCTCTGATGAGTGTCCAAACATCTCTGTAGTACTGTGACTTTCAAAATGATGTCATCAGCTATCATTCCACTCTGCAAGGGGAGAGGGGCAGGTGCCCCTCCTCGGTCTGTCTCCACCAGGCCCTGTGAGGGTGGGTGGAGGCTCTCTCCAAGCCCTCGTTTGGCCCCACCCTAGCATGTCTCCAGGTTCCTCTCAGCCCTGGTTCCTTTTGGCCCTGCAGTCACAATGGGCAACACTGTGACGCACCCTGTCCTGTGTCACAGTGTCATACACTCAGGCTCACATTGCCCCTAGGCCACTTGCCAGCCAAGGGACATGGCCACATTTTGTGTCTTCTGCACCTCAGCCTTGCTTTCAAGTGCAGGTGATGATGGCACCCACGCAGAACAAATGTTATTTGCTATCTTCGTCGAGTTTAGTCATCCAATTTTCCAACCCTCACTGGGCAAGGAAGAGTGTGGTTTCCACCAGAAGGCAGGATGTCAGCAGTCACAGGGGCAACCAACAGGGAAAGCCACCGGAAAATAGACCCCACAGGAAGCACAGGTGTCCAGTGGAGATGGGAACCCTGCAGATTTGACCGTCTTTAAGCAGATTAGAGAGATTACCATTACTAACAACTTAGCCATAAAAGTTTATTAGCTATTTTCAAAAAGCATAAAATTATGTAATATAATTTTTTTTAAATTTCCATCAATACAAAACTAATCTGGGCACTGCAACTTCCGGTGGGCAACTGGGATAGGCGGCATCATCAGGAAGGCGAGCCCTGCCATGCCCCATGTGCCAGTGCCCCAGATGGCGGCAGCCTCCCCAGAAGCACCTTGTATCTCCCCTGCACAGGGCCAGGGTCCCAGCTTCCCATACACCTTCTCCTGCTTTTTCTTTTCTGTCCTTTCCTTTTTCAATAAACCACCTGCAAAAAGGGAAAACCATTCTGAGGACAAGAAACATGTCAATGGGAAATACACAGTTGCCAGAGGGTAAAAGGCCCTGTTCATTCTCATTGAAAAGCTCAGGTATTTCTGTTAAAGTCTCTCCTTTTACTTTAGGATGCTGACTCCTGCGTCCATCTCAACCTGGGCATCGTGCCACCACCTTCAAGAAGAGAAAAACTAAGTAGTGCTTTGCAAAGGGGCAGCAGCATTTCTCATTTCTGACCATGTCAGGCACACGGCCATGCAGATGAGCAGGTGGGGGGACACAGGTGAGTCTCCAGACCTGCTCTCCTCCCACAGTACATTCTTGAGTCTTTTTAAACAGTTGTGAAAATGCCACAGATGCAAGCACCTGTGGGCCACTCCCATGGGGACTGTTGCACAAGGCAGTGCCACTCATTCTCAGAACCTCCTACCATGGGCTATGCTTAGTGACCCGAGGCCAAGCCAAGGAAGACGCCAGCCACAGGGTGCCATCCTCAGGGGCATGCTGCCAGCAGGGGCAAAGTTATCCCTAGCAACAAGATACAGAAAGAAAGAAAAAAGGAAGGAAATGTAGCCAATGGGCCGGTTCAGGTTCTTGACTTTGCCACACAAAAGAATTTGAGAGCAAGTCCAAAGTAAAAGTCAGCAAGAGAATTTATTGCAAAGTGAAAGTACACTCTGACAGCTGATCAGAGCAGCTGCTCAAAAGAGAGACAGTACCCTCCCCTCACGGGAGTCTTACATGATTATTCATGAATAGGTGGGAAGGGGTATTGTTTTAAGCATGTTCTGTGGTCTCTTGAACGTGCATGCACTATGGTTGTACATATCAGCACACACATCTTACGTCTCATTAGCATCTTAACTTCCCTCTCGGAGTTGTGTTTGCTACTATTGTAATGAGCATAGGTCAGCCCAAGGACGCTATTCATGGGTTTCTGGGCTTCCTCAGATGTGGGGATGCCTCCCTTGGCTCTTCTACCTCTTTGCTGCAGGATGTTCTAACCACAAGCCCAGGATATGGTTTGCGCACTGTCGAACAGCTTGTTCTCTCCATCAACCTGACAAGTCTCTTGTTTCCTTTCAAGGGAGGCTGTGAACATCCTATCTCACTGACCTCAGAAGGACAGTACAGCAGTAGCCACCATGACCAAAAAGATGATTCCAGAAGTGCAGGACAACTCCCTACCCAGAGGCTGTGGCTGTGCAGTAACACACCAAGAGGGGAGTCCAGCTGGCTCTCAGGGTGCTCACTACCCTCATCTGGGGGCCTGGAGGACGTCAATTCCTGAGAACGCCACGTTCTAGTGAGTAGAATGAACTGAGAGATACACAGCAAAGCTCCACATACTTTTCCTTTTCTTTGTGCCCGCAGTGTTCTTCATCAGTGTGCTCTCGCTTTTCAGCTACTACTGTTGGCTGGCTGGAAAAAATAGAACAATAGTAAAAATTAGAGACCAGTCTTTGGTGATGAAGAGAAATATTGGCTACTTCCAGTATTTTCTAGCTTTGGTTATGGTTGCAGTTTTCCAGCTCACCTTGTGGGGATGAATTCAGAAAAAAGTTACAAATTGAAATGAACATGCCAGAAGTATTGGCTCAAATCAACGTTGTCCTATTAAGCCACTTAGTGAATCAAAAGACCGCTTGTTGGACTGTTAATCTCGGTGGCCAGAGAAAGGAGCTGAAGAAGGTGTTGCCAGATCAGGAACAAATAATTACAGCGGCAATAGAAAATGGAAGACCACTTGTTCATAACCATTTGAATAAGGGCAAGGTGTATGGAAACACATTATGAACTGATATTTTCAGTTTTGTTTGCAAGAAAATGATTAATAAGGTGAAATAGTTGAAGTATCACGGAAGATACATTAAAAAAAAAAAAGCCTTTGTACAGTTTGCTGGAGCCACAGATGTCCTACTCCAGAGCAGAACAATGCCTGAATCTTCAGGGTCCATTTCTGCCGCATTCACTAGCAACCACAAATGTGACTTAATTTTACTTTGGAAATAATGCTTACCCATTGTGAGATGCTGTAATATGAACCATCATTACATGTTAACATGGCACATGGAATTTTGAGTGTCTAAGTTACATTTTTAGAGTTGTTTCTTAGTAGCCATGTGAGTTTCCACTCCAAAAACACAAGCTAAAAACTTGTTTTGAGTGAAGGACATCTAGGGCAAATGGTGGCTGAAAGTGAATGAGATCCCAATTACTCTTTCTTGTACTGTATAAGGAAAAGAAAATAAGTGCTTTTCTTGTTGGGTGTTTGCTAATTTATAATTACCGTTTTATGCTTTTCAACATTTTTAATAAAGTTTTTTATTGTTGGCTATAAACGTTTTAAAAGGATTCTCTTCCTCTAGAATCACTCTAAGTACCAAAATCTGTATTATTCTGGATTCATCAGAGAAACAGAACCAATAAGGTGTGTGTGTGTGTGTGTGTGTGTGTGTGTGTGTGTGTGTTATTCGTGTTATGAAACTGACTCATGCAATTATTACGGTGGCAAGTGTGAAATCTGTAGGATACGCCAGCAGGCTGAAAATGCAGACAGAAGTTGATATGGTAGTCTTAAGACAGAATTTCTTCTTTTCTGGGAAACTGTAGTTTCTGCTCTTAAAGCCTTCTACTGATTGGATGAGGTCCATCTACATTATTGAGGGTAATTTCCTTTTCATAAAGTCAACTGATTGTAAATGTTAACCACATGTACTAAATATCTTCACAGCAACATCTAGATTAGGTTTTGATTAAATGACTGGGTACTATGTCCTAGCCAAGTTTATTGGCATTGACTCTGGGTCAAGGCACCGTGTCTCCCTCCCATCGAGTTTTCCATCATCTACACGAGACCTAGATGACTACTTTGATATCTACTGAAGGCCACAGCCTTGTCAAAGCCAGCCCCAGCTGAAATGCACTCACCTGCATTCCCACACAATTTTACATACAATTCGGGGGAGGTTATGGGACCTATGAAGACCAAGGGTCTGTGGTCCTGTGACACTTTCTCTCAGAGGGTGAAGAAGGAGTTCCTTGGGGCAGCAACTCCCCAGGGGTCTCCTGCCTGCCTCTCCTCCCCTCTCAGCCCCAATCCTCTTTCCTGCTGTTGATCATCATGCAGTTTTTAAATCCCTACTCCCTGCCCCACCAAGGTTGGGCTCTAGGACCTGCCTATTGGGAACCTGCGGTTGGGAGAAAGTATGAAGTGACCCACCTGAATTTAGAGGAGGGAAGTGAGGAATTTGGAGACATCTAAAAACATTTTGTCCCTGTGGTTTGACTTCAAATTATCTATTTTTATTGGAGATTTGTTTGAAATTATAACCGGTATCTCATGATTATTCAGCATATGCCATGCCCCCTGGTAACCCTGGTTCTTATTTTTTTAAACTTGTACAAATATTTTAAGCAAACACAAAAGTAGACAGAAGAGTAAAGTAACCTTCACTGTACCCTTCACTCAGTAACACCCACTCTTGATTTATCTACATCCTCAACCATAGCCCAACACCAGGTTATTTTCAACTAAATCCTAGACAATATATTATTTCACATGTTAGCAATTTTCTTTTGAAGGTGCCAATGTTCAGCTTCTTTAAAAAGAGAAACAGAGACGGGCAGGAGAAGGATTGAACTGACAAAATATATTTTCAAATGCAATTAAGGCAGAGGACAATGCAGGAACTCTTGAGTCCCGTTTTAACTGAATGCTCAGCACCTCTTAGATTCTCAATAAAAGAAAGCAGCAGCCCAGAGCCAAGGAGCCCAGGGAGGCACATCATGGTTTGATTTTGTGGCTGTTTTCAGGGCAGTATCTGTCATCTCTGAATGGTTACACTGGACATTTCTATTCCCACCCTTGCAATGGGACTCCCCAGCTCAGAGAAAGGGAAATTATCACCCATTCTCATTTATACCTTTAATGCCTTCATCCATTCCCTTGGTCCTGACTTTCCGGTTGGAGGAGGGGGAGGAAAAGCAGAGGCACGAAATTGAAATGTCTTCTCTGCCATCTGCTGGGGATATGCTTGAATAACAGGAAAGGCCTACATAAAAGATATGCAGCCAGGAATAGAGGTTCCTTTTCCTGTTTCCTTCAGGAAATTTCCCCTAGGGCAGACAGAGCAAGAGTGATGGACAGAGGAATGGGAGCAGGACCCAGGGGGAGGTCTGGTCATATGTGTGCCTTTCTGCCTCCCCGTCTGTCATTGTCCTTCCTCACCAGGCCTGCAGACCACCTGCGATGACCTGGCCTCTTGCCATCCCTAGCTGGGCCAAAATTCCATCACAGGGACACACAGGATGGCAGAAGCGCAAGGCCTCATACCCGCTGGGGCAGCCTCCTGGAGATGGCCTCAGAAGGGCTTCTAGGAACTTCTTTAAAACCTGCACTGCAGGCACCAATTTCCCCAGTTATCCCATCCTTAAATGAAAAATCAACCACAGAGATGATTTATTGTAATAGCCTTATTTCAGTACAAGCAGACGAAAAGTGTTTCTCTTCACTGGCCCGTTAGTTACAATGGGGAGGGGTCACTGAGTGAGCAGCGGGTGGTGGCAGTGACGACCACACCCTCTCACTGCGGCCCAACACTTTTGAGACAAGTTCCCACCTCTCCATTAGACGTGTCTTCTCCACATGCAGAAAATGTGGTCTCGTAGCTTCCCTTCTCGGTGCTGGATTGCTGACATTTCTTTTCTTTATCAGAGACATGAATATCTTTTTTCTTTATGGATTTCTAAGACTTCAGGGTTTCTTCAGGGAGAAGTTGCTTAAGGAGGCTCCTGCGTGGATCGAGTCCTTCCTGAGGGTTTGCTGGATGCCCCCGGACACTGTGCGGCTGTGTCCTCCGGGGTCCCTAAAGCTGGCACATTCTGCTGTGTACCCAGAGGTGGGGACAGATGCTGCCAGCTCCACCTTACAGCTGCCACATGAAATTTGAGGTCAGAGAATTCTCTTGTCTTTAAGGGCCCCCACATTTGCCTTCTTCGATGTTTCAGGAAATCATAACTGAATTTAGAAAGGTTCCCTTTTCAGTTTACTCTCTGGAAGGAAATATACTGAAAATTCAGTTTATTTTCAGGTGTTGAATAGAATTGAAAAGTCAAACTGTCAGTTTGCTTGCAGTGCACACAGAGAAATTGAGTGTTCCAAGCCATTGGGACATTTCTAGCAGCTCCATCCTTTTCCAGTAGGACATGAGTAAAGTCAGTGAGGAGCGAACCTGCAGTCCACGGGCACCTCCAGGATTGTGGCAGGAGACGCACATGTCTTTCTGATGTGTGGAGTCCTGAGGACAGAGGCTGAGACCCTGCATTTCCCAAAGTACTTGTTTTCTAAGCAAGTGTTTCTGCTACTTGAAATAAACTTGGGGGTGTGGAAGCCACCTTGCAACCAACCAAACACAGGTGAGAAAATGAATATGAAGTGTTCTGGGAGAAAGCAGAAAACCCCATTGCCATCATGTTTCCTTATTTTTACAATTCTCTTAAACAACGTGCCTAAGGTTATAACCCCTCCCGTTTGTAACAACTTCTAAATGAGAAAATCGTTGAAAGGGCATTAGTAAGTGTGGATACAGAATAAATGCTGAAAATCAGTGCTTTATTCAAAGTAGCGATAGAGTCTCCCAGGTATCAATAGAGAGGTGGGCCAGGGACTTTTCCCAGTGACCAGAAACAAGAGCCTCAGGGAGATGAGGATGTCTCACAGCCAGGGACGGGACAGTGAAGGGCCCCACGGGAGTGCATCCCAGGGGTCTGTTCCTGTTTAGACTCCAATGCTCAGCACCCAGTGCGGCACGTGGCAAGACCTCAGCAAATATGTCAGTTGGCTGGATGAAGGAGGGCAGGTGTGAGCCAAAAAAAGATTTTTGCTGGGGCATAAATGTAAAAGTGTTGATGAACCTACCTTGCAAGGAGATAGAAAGGTGGATGGGTGGATGGGTGGATGGGTAGATGGATGGATGGATGGATAGATGGATGGATGGATGGATGGATGGATATTCATTTTCTCTATGTGTGTGTGTACGTGTGTATCTATCTCTGTCTGTCTCTCTGCTCTTTCTCTCCATTTGCCATTGTTCCTTCACAATCATGATTTCACTAACTTTTTTTTTTTTTCTTTGAGACAGAGTCTCACTCTGTCGCCCAGGCTGGAGTGCAATGTCACAATCTCTGCTCACTGTAGCCTCCACCTCCCGGGTTCAAGCGATTATCCTGCCTCAGCCTCCTGAGTAGCTGGGATTATAGGCACATGCCACCACGCCCGGCTAAATTTTGTATTTTTATTTTGATTTTTTTTGTAGAGATGGGGTTTCACAATGTTGGCCAGGCTGGTCTCAAACTCCTGACCTTGTGATTCGCCCACCTCAGCCTTCCAAAGTGCATCAGTAACATCTTTTACCTGGTCTTACAGGACCTTGCCTGTCTATTCTATTCGTGGTCACAAGACAGAAAAAGAAAAGGAGTGTGTGGAAAACAAGATAAGGAAACATGCTTCTGATGTGGGGCAGTGGGGAGACAGGAGCTGCGCCTCACTGCAGAGTCCATCCTGCTGAACACAGAGGGGCAAAAGCGCCCAGACAGCCATGCCCGTGCTGATCAGAAGGGAGGGCTGCGCCTCGCGATCCTTCTACCTGTGTCTTTCAGGCTTTGCTGTCTAGGTCCAAGTTACTGCTATGAAAAGAGATTTGAGAATTCCCAGAGGGGCCTTTCAGCCTCTTTCCATGGCTCTTCCTGCCCTTTCGAAAGCACAGCCAGAGACATCAGAAATGAAATTGTACATAATTCTTTTGGACTTTGATGCAATCTTTGGAAAGAATTTTTGTAAATGCCAAGCTACATTTTGGCAACCCCATCAAGAGTCAGGTGTGCCCAGGGCAGTCAACCCAGGCCCTGGACTCTCATTCTAGTTGGATTCTATGACAGCTATTTTGCCATAAGAATTCTAGAGCCAGATCTTGCTACACCACAATTGCCTCACGTTGCAAGACAAACAAATCTAACCTGAGTCCTGTGGATTCCAGAGGTGCTCAGGAGGAACCTCCGTCTCAGCGTGGATGACCTCAGGTTCAGCCCCGTCTGTCCATTCAGCCCGCAGCCCCGTCCAGGAGAGCACTCAGAATCCGAGAGCAGCGCAGCGGCGCCCCCGTGTGGCCACAGGGCCGAGGACAGAGACCCCGCTCCCCTTTCTCCCTAGCCAGGACCTCCCAGGCTCTCCTGCTCCCAGCACCTGGACAGGGCTCTGCATACAAGGGGGTTCCCGATCTCAAGTCAGGCTCTGAGTCCATCCAGCTTCCCAAAATCCATGTTGACACTGACGTTTCCTCCCACCACTGAGTGACTCTGGATTTTGGCTTTAGGGAAGAGATACCTCCAGGCCAAAACAGTGGGATCATATCTGGGGCTCATCCACCCCCAGACCATTGCTACCACATGACCTAGTCCCTCAGCCTCCAAAATGGGGCCTTGCCCTCCTGTCCCCTCCCTTGTTCCTGCTGCTGCTCCTGCAGGTGGAGGCTGCTCATCCCAGGAATCAGCCTGTGAGCTCCAACCCTGGAGTCCGGGCCTGGGGCCTTGGTCCAGAGAGCAGAAGGGAGATGAAATGGATCATAAGAGAAGGGGGAGAGTGGAAGGAACCAGGGGGGAGAGAAAAACGAGAAGGGCCCTGTTAGAAGTTGTGTGTGCATGTGTGTGTGTGTGTGTGTAGATCAGGAGGGGGTTTCTAGGGACCTGGGGAAAGGAGAGCTAAGGGCAGGTGCTAAGGGGCCCAGCCCTGTTAATTCCAAGGTCCGGAATTAATTCCAGGATACTGCACTTCCTACAGTACCACTTTATGGCCATATCCAAGTCCAGCCCTGAGCAGCCTATGGTCACAGAAAATCGTGAGAATAATCAGAGAAAAATGACACGTTACATACATGAGAACAATTATGAGAATGACCAGTCCATGTGTTCATAATTTGTCATCAGAAACTATGGTTGTCAGAAGACAATGAAATGGCATTTTTTTGAGTGCTGTAAGAAAACAACCTAACTCAGAATTGCACATCCAGTAAAAATATTTTCAGGGAAGAAAAATGAAAAGGTGTCTCCAGATAAAATAAAACTAGGATAATTTGTTGCAAACATAACTCTACTACAAGAAAAATACTGAAGGAGTTTCCCAGGTTGAAAGAAATCATACCAGATGGTAACTTGAGTCTTCAGATAGGAGTGACCAACACTGGAAATGCCAAATATATGGTGGGAAGTTAAAGATGCTCTATTTTTTCTTAGTTTTTTTTTTATTAATTTTTTTTTGAGGTGGAGTTTCACTCTTGTTGCCCAGGCTGGAGTGCAATGGCACAATCTCCGCTCACTGCAACCTCTGCCTCCTGGGTTCAAGCGATTATCCTGCCTCAGCCTCTCGAGTAGCTGGGATTACAGGCATGCGCCACCACGCCCAGCTAATTTTGTATTTTTAGTAGAGACGTGGTTTCTCCACGTTGGTTAGGCTGGTCTCGAACTCCCGACCTGAGGTGATCCACACGTCTTGGCCTCCCAAAGTGCTGGGATTACAGGCGTGAGCCACCGCGCCCAGCTTTTTCTTAGTTTTTTAAAAATACAAATGAACAACACTATCAACCGTCTTGATCTGACATTTACAGTCACTGTGTTCAACAGCTCCAGAATATATATTTTGTAAAGTGAATATGGTACATTCACTAGCACAGGTCATATGTTGAGACATAAAACAAGTAACAACATATTTCAAAGGACTGAAATCATACAGAATATGTACTCTGACCAAAATAGATTTTATTGGAAATCAATAATAAGTTGTCTAGGGGCAAAAAAGTATTGAAAATTTTAAATCTTCCTTCTAAATAACCTACGGATCAAAGAAGAAAACATAAGGGAAGTTAGATAATATTTTCAACTGAATGATGATGAAAACATACCTTTCAAAATTATTAGATACTATTTCCAGTCTTTCTGCAAAGGACAGTGATCAAGAGAGTGTGGTATTGGCAAAAGGACAGACACATAGATCAACAGAACAGAATGGAGAGGCCAGAAATGGAAGGACAAAAATAGAGTCACTTGATTTTGAATACAAGTACAAAGGTCATCCAATGAAGAAGGGAATCTCCTTTCAATAATGATGCTGAAACAATTGGCATCCATCTACTTTGGGAGGCTGGGGCAGGTGGATCACTTGAGGTCAGGAGTTTGAGACTGGCTTGGCCAACATGGTGAAACCCTGCCTCTACTAAAGTTACAAAAATTAGCTGGTGTGGTGGCTCATGCCTGTAATCCCAGCTACTCGGGAGGCTGAGGTAGAAGAATCACTTGAACCTGGGAGGCAGAGGTTGCAGTGAGCAGAGATCACGCCATTGCACTCCAGCCTGGGCCACAGAGTAAGACTCAATCTCAAAGAAAAAAAAAACAAAAAAAAAACTTGACAATACTTCACACCTATAAAAAAGTAACTCAAAATGTATCATAGACTTAAAAATAATATGCACAGCCATAAAACTTCTGGAAGAATATAAAGGAGAAAATCTTAACCTTGAGTTTGAGTTTTTAGATAAAACACCAAAAATACAATCCATGAAAGAGAAAACAAATCAATTACACTTTATCATAATTAATAGTTTTTGCCTTACAAAAACACTGGTAAGTGAATGAAAAGAAGACAAGGCACAGACTGGAAGAAAATACTTGTCAAAAAACTGGAAGTTATAGATGTGACAAAGGACTTGTAAAGATAATATGTGAACAAAATTAAAACACAATAATTGGGAAAAAAAATCTTGATTTTAGAAGTGGGTGAAAGATCTCAACAGACACCACCAAAGAAGATATATGGGTGGTAAATAATACTTGAAAATATGCTTAAGATCATCTGTCATTAGGGAAATGCCAATAGGGTGCAGTGGCTCATGCCTTCAATGCCAACACTTTGGTAGGCTAAGGCAGAAGGATCACTTGAGCCCAGGAGCTCAAGACCAGCCTGGGTAACATGGCGAGACAATGTCTCTACAAACAAACAAACAAACAAACAAACATTAACCAGGTGTGGTGGCATGCACCAGTGATTCCAGATACTTGGGAGAGTGAGACGGGAGGATTGCTTGAACCTGGGAGGTGGAGGCTGAAGTGAGCTGTGATCGCACCACTTTACTCCAGCCTGGGCAACAGAGTGAGACTCTGTCTCAAAAAACAAAACAAAACAGAACACCAAAACAAAGTACTGCTACACTATTAGAGTAGCTAAAATTTTTTAAACTTACAATAAAAAATGCTGAAAATATACAGAGCAACAAGAATTCCCACTCACTGCTAATGGGAATGGAAAATGGTAAAGCCACTTTGAAAGACAGTTTAGAAGTTTCTTATAAAGTTAAGGAGAGACTTACCATCAATCATGCTCTTAGGTATTTACCCAAGTTAATTCAAGGTTGATATCCACACAAAAACCTGTACATGAATATTTATAGCAGCTTTACATATGTTCACTAAAAACTGTAAACAACCAAGATATCTTTCAGCCATGCAAGACTAAGCAAACTGTGGTATAACCATATGGATCATAAGAAATGAGCTATTGTCAGGCCAGAAGAGGTGGCTTACACCTGTAATCCCAGCACTTTGGGAGGCTGAGGCAGGTGGATCACCTGAGGTCAGGAGTTTGAGACCAGCCTGGGCAACATGGCAAAACTCCGTCTCTAGTAAAAATACAAAAAGAAAAAATTAGCCAGGCGTGGTGGCGAGCAACTGTAGTCCCAGCTCCTCGGGAGGCTGAGGCAGGAGAATCACTTGAACCTGGGAGGCAGAGGTTGGAGTGAGCCAAGACTGCATCATTGCACTCTAGTCTGGGCAACAGAGCAAGGATCTGTCTAAAAAAAAAAAAAAAAAAAAAAAGCTGTTGCCCTGGTGCAGTGGCTCATTTTGGGAGGCCAAGGTGGAAGGATCGCTTGTGGCCAGGGTTCAAGACCAGTCTGGGCAACATACCGATATGCTGTCTATGTTTATTTAAAAATAAAAAAAAAATTGGCCAGGCGCAGTGGCTCACACCTGTAATCCCAGCACTCTGGGAGGCCGAGGCATGTGGATCACCTGAGGTCAGGAGTTCGAGACCAGCCTGGCCAACATGAAGAAACCCCGTCTCTACTAAAAATACAAAATTAGCCGGGAGTGGTGGCGCATGCCTGTAATCCCAGCTACTCAGGAAGCTGAGGCAGAAGAATCATTTGAACCTGGGAGGCGGAGGTTGCAGCGAGCTAATATCGCGCCATTGCACTCCAGCCTGGGCAACAAGGGCAAAACTCTGTCTCAAAAAAAAAAAAAAAAAAAAAATATATATATATATATATATATATGTAAATAAGCTATTAATCCATACATCAATTAATCTTAAATGCGTTTTACTAGGTGAAAAAAATGTCAGACACAAAAGGCTTCATTTTATCTGACTCAATTCATATACCATTCTGGAAAAAGCAGATCTATGGGGACAGAAAACAGGTTAATGGTTATCAAAGGTTGGAGGGAGAAGGGATAAAGAACATTCAAAGGGAAATTTTTAGGATGAAGGAACTGTTGTAGATGGTACTAGGGTAGTGGATATATGATTCTATACATTTGTCAAAATCCAGGCTGGGTGTGGTTGCTCATGCCTGTAATCCCAGCACTTTGGGAGGCCGAGGCGGGTGGATCACCTGAGGTCAGGGGTTCAAGACCAGCCTGGCCAACATGGTGAAACCCCGCCTCTACCAAAAATACAAAAATTAGCCAGGCGTGTTGATGGGCGCCTGTAATCCCAGCTACTCGGGAGGTTGAGGCAGGAGATGGAGGTTGCAGTGAGCCCAGATAGCACCATTGCACTCCAGCCTGGGCCACAAGAGTGAGACTTCATCTCAAAAAAAAAAAAAAAAAAAGTCATTGTTGTAAAAAGGGCACAGGCTTTGCTACAGATTTTTCTACCAGTGAAAAGATGTATACACTTGCCTGGCCTCATCATTCAGACCAATTCATAAAATAACAAATGCATGGAAAAAAAAACTTAAAAACACAATCATCATGTGACTGACTTCCAAATTAGATTCTCCTTCAAATCAGAGAGTATTGCTTGTTAATAGTGTTTATAAATTTTAATTCCTGATTGCTGAGACAATATGTACATAAAATATGTAGCCAAAGAGTTCAAAATAAAATTACCCAAATTACCTATTTGTTATTTTATACATAGTAATTATTTTTAAAAAATCGTTTGGCTGGGTGCGGTGGTTCATGCCTGTAATCCCAGCATTTTGGGAGGCCAAGGCGGGCGGATCGTGAGGTCGGGAGTTCGAGACCAGCCTGACCAACATGGTGAAACCCTGTTTCTACTAAAACAACAAAAATTAGCCGAGCATGGTGTCGTGCGCCTGTAATCCCACCTACTTGGGAGGCTGAGGCAGGAGAATCGCTTGAACCCAGGAGGCAGAGGTTGCGGTGAGCCGAGATCACACCATTGCACTCCAGCCTGGGCAACAAGAGCAAAACTCCATCTCAAAAAAATTTTTTTAAAAAGCATAAATTAAAAAAAAAAATAAAACTTTTAAGATGTTAAGCCCCTGAAGCTCCAACTACAAAGTAGGGTAAAAGGCTGCCTAAAGCAGTGAAGATCAAGGAGTGACCTTGGAGGCAGCAGAGGGAGACTGTATTAGTCCATTTGCGTTGTTGTAAAGGAATACCTGGGTTTAAGTAATTTATAAAGAAAAGAGATTTATTTGGCTCACAGTTCTGCAGGCTGTACAATCATGGGGCCAGCTCCACTAGGATTCTGGTGAAGTCTCAGGAAGCTTTTACTTGTGGCAGAAGGCAAAGGAAGAGAAGGTGTGTCACATGGAGAGAGAAGGAGCAAGAGAGCTGCTAGGCTCTTTTAAATAATCAGCTCTCGTGTGAACGAATAGAGTGAAAGCTCACTCATTACCATGGGCAGGGTACTAAGCCACTCATGAGAGAAACGCTTCCATGACCCAAACGCCTCCCACTAGGCCCCAGCTCCAACACTGGGGATCTTTCAACATGAGATTTGGAGGGGACAAACACCCAAACCTTATCAGAGATGATCCCAGCCACAGGTCTCAGAGAACCAGCAGAGGGCACTCCTCCAGGGCCCAGCCTGAGTGTGGAAATAGCTGTCAGAATCACGTCAGAATGTTTCAGAACTCATGGGGAAAAGCTGAGACAGAAAAAAAGAAGAAAGTAAGAAGCTGGCAGAAATCAGCTAGGAACCTTGAGAGACTTGGTATTTCATTGACAGGTAAGATAGGAGTGTTTTGACTCCCGTCATCCCTAAGGAAGACCACCAGTATCTGAACTGTCGGAGAGCCCTTCTGCCCTCACAAAGCCAAACACTGATGTGCATGGCGATTTGGGAACTTCTGGAGGGCATCACACCAGACAACCAACTTGCGCTGGGTCACCTGTCCCTCCTCCAGACTCGGGCAGTGTTGGCAGGGTGCCATATTAAGAGTGTAGCCATCAGGGGACTGTGTCCTTCCCAGGGAACCCCAACCTTTGTATATTCACATCACAGAAGCTCCTGCAGCCATGCCCCCAGTGCCCACTTGGATTGTGGCAGCCACACAGGGCTGGCTGGACCCAGTGGAGCTGCAGGGTTCCCAGTGGTCTAGCCATCAGGGATTGCTGCTCCTAAGGAAAGGGAGACTGCAGTACACAAAAAAAGTACCAGTTGGGACAAAGGAGGCCAGGCCATGTACTCATCTGTGTCCAAGAGCTCCTTGTTTGTGGGCTGAGTGACTGCACCACTTCCAGCAGAGTCGTGGACACTGTGTTCAGCTCTGCGCTGAAGGAGTGTAGTTCCATCCCAGCAGCCAAGCAGCCCCAGTGCTTAGAATCAGGCATGGAAAGGGGAAATTCTCCTGCCCTTCCCCCATCCACCACTGCTTCAAACACAGCATGGCCACTCCCATGGGAAATTGGCACGTGTGCCAGAGAAGAGCCTTTCTAGGGCTATCAGGGGTGACTGTGTTTCCACTGGCAGTGTGGCCATTTGGGCCAGGCTTGTGTGAAAGACAGGGCCCTTTCCCCTCTCTACAGGGAGTGCTAGCATTCCTGCAGTGGAGAGCAGGAAAGCTGAAAAGCTATGTGCAGGCCAGGCGCGGTGGCTCACGCCTGTAATCCCAGCACTTTGGGAGGCCGAGGTGGGCGGATCATCTGAGGTCAGGAGTTCAAGACCAGCCTGACCAACATGGAGAAACCCTGTCTCTACTAAAACTACAAAAACAATTAGCCAGGCGTGGTGGCGCATGCCTGTAATCCCAGGTACTCGAGAGGCTGAGGCAGGAGAATTGCTTGAACCTGGGAGGTGGAGGTTGCGGTGAGCTGAGATCACGCCATTGCACTCCAGCCTGGGCAACAAGAGCAAAACTCCATCTCAAAAAAAAAAAAGAAAAAGAAAAGCTATGTGTTTGGGGTTGAGGGAGGATGCTCTGCACCAAAGACATTTAAATGGTGAGCTGAGGAGAAGACATCTTTAATGAGTCTCAACTACATTGCAGTTGGAGATAGAGAGTAGTGTCTGGTCAATTTGAGTTTCCCCGATGCCAGGACTAGGGAATGACAGGGAAATGGATGGCATTCCTGCCTGGCCAGGTCATGAAGCTGGGGCAGCCCTCTCCTCATCTGTGGAGACCTAGGCACGTTTCACCAGAAGTTTCCCATGCCACCACTCCTGCCTGAAAGCTGCTGCCTGTGCTCACCATTGTGGGGCAGGCTTGGGGATCCAGCTCTACTCAGCTATGTCCCCCTCTCTGGTGCTGAGCAGGGAGCCCAGGCTGCTGTACATTCCACTTACCAGCACATTTCCTGAGGCAACAGAGAACTTTTCTAGGTATACAATGATGAAGCATATACTCACGTGCTTCTGCCACATAGGCTTTTAGGCATAAGCCCACCTACTGTTCTGGAGGCTGAACCACGCACCTCAATACAAATCAGTTGACAAAAGGGCACATGAGTGGAAATAAACTTCTCATCTCTTCCAAAAGAGGAAATGAGATAAACTTCTTAAACCTCTGCCATCCTGGCCCTGCAGGAGGCTGTGAGCCTGTTCACACTCCCAGTACATCACCACCACAACTGGCATTTGAGAAAGCCACCATACAAAGGCTATCTATAACCAGGGGACAACTACAGAGTCTTTGCCACTGAAAGCATTCACAACCAAATGCAAAGGACCTTAAACAACATACATTATAGTCACATTGTAAAGGGAAAAAAAATCCTGCCCAAATGAAATAAATTCAAAAATAAGAAGAGAAAGTTTCTACAGATGAGAAGGAACCAAAGAAATGATTCTGGAACTCTCTATGTTTTCTATTTTTTAAGTAAGTCCTTTGTTTCTCTGTTGAAAACAGTAGAATGTTTTGAAAACATACTCTGAAAAAATAGAGTGTTATGACATCCCCAAAACATTACACTAACTTTCTAGCAATAGATCCTAACAAAAATAAAATCTTTGAAATACCAAATAAATAATTCAAAATAATGATTATAAAGAAGCTCAATGAAATCCAAGAGAAAGTTGAAAACAACACAAAGAAATGTAAAAAATCAATTCAGCATATGAATAAAAAATTTACCAAGAGATAAATATTTTTAAAAAAGTAAACCACCTGGGCTGGGCGCGGTGGCTCACGCCTGTAATCCCAGCATTTTGGGAGGCTGAGGCGGGCAGATCACGAGGCCAGGAGATCTAGACCATCCTGGCTAACACAGTGAAACCTCGTCTCTACTCAAAATACAAAAAATTAGCCGGGCCTGGTTGCAGGCGCCTGTAGTCCCAGCTACTCAGGAGGCTGAGGCAGGAGAATGGTCTGAACCCGGGAGGCGGAGCTTGCAGTGAGCCGAGATTGCGCCACTGCACTCCAGCCTGGGCGACAGAGTGAGACTCCTTCTCAAAAGAAAAAAAAAAAAAAAAATTAAACCACCTGGAAATAAAAAATTCATCAAAGTAGTTCCAAATGCAGCTGAAAGCTTTAACAATAGACTAGACCAAGCAGAAGAAAGAATTTCAGAGCTTGAAGACAGGTCTTTCAAATTAACCCAGTCAGACAAAAAGAAAGAAAAGAGAATTAAAATATGAACAAAGCCTTCAGGAAGTATGGGGTTATGTAAAACATCTGAACCCATGAATCATAGGTATTCCTAAGGGAGAATGAAGTGTAAAAAGTGTGGAAAATCTACTTGAGGAAATAATTGAGGAAAACTTCCCTAACCCTGGCTAGAGATTTAAAATCCAGATAGAAGATACTTAGAGAACTCCTGGAAAATACATTGCAAGATGGACTTCACCAAGACAAATAGTCATCAGACAATCTAAACTCAATGTAAAGGAAAAAAAATCTTAAAATGAGCAAGAGAAGAGAAAAAGTGTCCTAAAAACCTATATAGGAAATTCCATCAGCCTAACAGTGGATTTTTCAGGCCGGGCACGGTGGGTCACGCCTGTAATCCCAGTACTTTGGGAGGCTAAGGTGGGTGGATCACGAGGTCAGGAGATCGATACTGTCCTGGGTAACACAGTGAAACCCCGTCTCTACTAAAAATACAAAAAATTAGCCGGGCGTGGTTGCAGGCGCCTGTAGTCCCAGCTACTCCGGAAGCTGAGGCAGGAAGGAGAATGGCGAGAACCCGGGAGGTGGAGCTTGCAGTGAGCCGAGATCGCGCCACTGCACGCCAGCCTGGACAACGGAGCGAGACTCCGTCTCAAAAAAAAAAAAAAAAAAAAAAAAAAAAAGCACTGTGAAAATCCCTATCCTGTTTGTTCCGATCTAATTACTGGGACATGCAGCCCCTAGTCACATAACCCCTGCTTGCTCAATCGATCACGGCCCTCTCAAGCGCACCCCCTTAGAGTTGTGATCCCTTAAAAGGGACAGAAATTGCTCACTGGGGGAGCTCGGCTCCTGAGACAGGAGTCTTGCCGATGCCCCCGGCCGAATAAACCCATTCCTTCTTTAACTCGGTGTCTGAGGAGTTTTGTCTGCGGCTCGTCCTGCTACAATATGGCGCCATTGCACTCTAGCCTGGGCAACAAGAGCCAGACTCCTTCTCAAAAAAAAAAAAAAAAAAAAAATTGCGGCCGGACGCGGTGACTCACACCTGTAATCCTAGCTCTTTGGGAGGCTGAGGTGGGCGGATCACGAGATCAGGAGTTAGAGACCAGCCTGGCCAGTATGGAGAAACTCCACCTCTATTAAAAATACAAAAATTAGCTGGGCATGGTGGCACGCACCTGTAGTCCCAGCTGCTCAGGAGGCTGAGGCAGGAGAATCGCTTCAACCTGGGAGGCGGAGCTTGCAGTGAGCCGAGATCGTGCCACTGCACTCCAGCCTGGCTGACAGAGCGAGATTCTGTCTCAAAAAAAAAAAAAAGAAAAGAAAAGAAAAAAAGAAAAACAAGCAAAGAGTGGTGATGAAATTTGAAAGAAGGGACTAGGCCGGGCGAGGTGGCTCACGACTAATCCCAGCGCTTTGGGAGGCTGAGGCAGGCAGATCACCTGAGATCAGGAATTCAAGACCAGCCTGGCCAACGTGGTGAAAACCTGCCTCTATTAAAAATACAAAATTAGCCGGGTATGGTGGTGCGTGCCTATAAATCCCAGCTACTTGGGAGGCTGAGGCAGGAGAATCGCTTGAACCCAGGAGGCAGAGGTTGCAGTGAGCCCAGATCGCGCCATTGCACTCCAGCCTGGGCGACAAGAGTGAAATTCCCTCTCAAAAAAAACAAAAAAGTAAAGGAAAAGAAAAGAAAAGAAATAGCATATAGTAGCATATAAATTCCCAAACATTAAACAATTGCCTTTGTTCATATAAACAATAAAAAGTTAAAATTTTTGTGAGGCGATAACCTCATATATAATAGAAACAAAAAGGTTTTTAATGAAAAAAATTACTAAGAAGTGTGCAAACTTTAAATGAAAACATTAAAACACATCTGAAATTTAAAAATTAGATATGAACAAATCGGGCCGGGTGCGGTGTCTCACGCCTGTAATCTCAGCACTTTGGCAGGCTGAGGTTGGAGGATCACCTGAGATCAGGAGTTTGAGACCAGCCTGGCCAAGTGGTGAAACCCTGCTTCTACTAAAAATACAAAAATTAGCCGGGTGTGGTGGTGTGAGCCTATAATCCCAACTACCTGGGAGGCTGAGGCAGGAGAATGGCTTGAACCTGGGAAGTGGAGGTTGTGGTGAGCCAAGGTCACACCTCTGCACTCCAGCCTGGGTGACAGAATGAGAGTCCATTTCAAAAAAAAAAAAAAAAAAAATGAAGAACTTTTTTTTCTTTTCCATAAGTTCTTGGGGTACAGGTGGTATTCGGTTACACGAGTAAGTTCTTTAGTGGTGATTTGTGAGATTTCGATGCACTTATCACCCGAGCAGTATACACTGCACCTTGTAGTCTTCTGTCCCTTGCCCCCTCCTACTCTTCCTCTCAAGTCCCCAAAGTCCATTGCATCATTCATATGCCTTTGTGTCTTCATAACTCAGCTTCTACATATCAGTGAGAACATACAATGTTTGGTTTCCCATTCCTGAGTTATTTCACTTAGAATAACAGTCTCCAATCTCATCCAGGTCACTGAAAATGCTGTTAATTCATTCCTTTTTATGGCTGTGTAGTACAGAAGAACATTCTCAAATAGGAAGACTATACAGCACATTTGCAGAGTAAATTTTCAAATGTAATACCTCCTAATCAAAATGCCAACAACTACTTTTTTTCTCAAGCTAGACAAGTAGATTATAAAGTTCACATGAGAAAATAAATAAGAATAATTAGAAAATCCCTTGGGGGAAAAAAACAAATTGAGAATTGGGTGTCTAGTTATGCCTAATAGTTAAATATTTTACAAATTCCCTGTCACTAGAACAGTGTGGCACTGGTGAATGAATAGACCAACCAATGGAACAGCACAGGAAGTCCAGAAACAGCCAAGTGCATAGCAACCTAGTCCTCATTTAATGACTTTAATTCATTCCTGGGCATTGTGCCACTAAATAAAAAGTATTAAACCAGGCTGGGTGCGGTGGCTCACGCCTGTAATCCCAGGAAATTGGGAGGCCAAGGCCGGCGGATCACCTGAGGTTGGGAGTTTGAGACCAGCCTGACCAACATGGAGAAACCCCCTCTCTAC
Organism: Homo sapiens; assembly: GCF_000001405.40. Lineage (NCBI taxonomy): Eukaryota > Metazoa > Chordata > Mammalia > Primates > Hominidae > Homo > Homo sapiens. The sequence goes on along the minus strand of NT_167245.2, from coordinate 956,182 downwards.
TGAAAATACAAATTAGGCAGGCGTGGTGGTGCATGCCTGTAATCCCAGCTACTCGGAAGGCTGAGGCAGGAGAATCGCTTGACTTGAACCCAGGAGGCAGAGGTTGTGGTGGGCCAAGATCGGGCCATTGCACTCCAGCCTGGGCAACAAGAGCGAAACTCTGTCTTAAAAAGGCCGGGCGCGGTGGCTCACGCCTATCATCCCAGCACTTTGGGAGGCCGAGGCGGGCGGATCACTAGGTCAGGAGATCGAGACCATCCTGGCTAACGAGGTGAAACCTCGTCTCTACTAAAAATACAAAAAAATTAGCCGGGCGTGGTGGCGGGCACCTGTAGTCCCAGCTACTCTGGAGGCTGAGGCAGACGAATGGCGTGAACCCGGGAGGTGGAGCTTGCAGTGAGCCGAGATCCCGCCACTGCACTCCAGCCTGGGCGACAGAGAGAGACTCTGCCTCAAAGTGGAGAAAATGGTACAGAGGCCAGGCGCGGTGGCTCACGCCTGTAATCCTAGCACTTTGGGAAGCCGAGGAGGGCGGATCACGAGGTCAGGAGATCGAGACCATCCTGGCTAACAGGTGAAACTCAGTCTCTACTAAAAATACAAAGAATTAGCCCGGCACGGTGGCGGGCGCCTGTAGTCCCAGCTACTCGGGAGGCTGAGGCAGGAGAATGGCGTGAACCCGGGAGGCGGAGCTTGCAGTGAGCAGAGACAGCGCAACTGCACTTAAAGGGCGAGACTCCGTCTCAAAAAAAGAAAGAAAGAAAGAAAGAAAGAAAGTGATACAGAAGTGAAAGAGATGTTTACCTATTGAGCAAAAGGTGTGAGGGTGTGTGTGTGTGATAAATGATACTAGAAAAAAAGAGAGCAAATGAATGATATTGTATTCTCTTCATAGTTAAGGTGTTCTGCTGTTTATTTTTTGTGGGGGGAGGGGGGCGCGGGGCGGACAGAGTCTCACTCTGTCGCCCAGGCTGGAGTGTAATGGCGCGATCTCGGCTCACTGCAAACTTCTGCCTCCCTGGTTCACGGGATTCTCCTGCCTCAGCCTCCTGAGTAGCTGGGATTACAGGCACGTGCCACCACGCCCGGCCAATTTTTGTATTTTTAGTACAGATGGGGTTTCACCATTTTTGTCAGGCTGGTGTTTATATGATATTAATAAACAATGAAAGATAAAGAAAAGATCTGAATCATTTGCATTTTCAGGAAAATTGTTACACATCAGAAAATCTGTCAGGAAATATTTGAGACTCCATCACAATCATTGCCCCTTAAACACACCCATCAAGACGACTGTTCTTCCTCCTTTAGAGAGTAAAATGAACCTTCAGTACATTGAGTTTTGTGGAATTCTTACCTATTTACTCTGAAGTTTCTATTTACTACTTACATACCTTTGTTTTCATTGCTCTATTGATATATCTACCTGCAAAGTTTTCTGTGAGTCCTCTATTGTTATAGAATGCACCATAATTTTTTCCATTAGGAAAATTAAATTTTGTTTACTCTTTTTTTTTTTTCTTTGAGACAGAGTTTCACTCTTGTTGCCCAGGCTGGAGTGCAATGGCATGATCTTGGCTCACTGCAACTTCCACCTCCCGGGTTCAAGCAATTCTCCTGCCTCAGCCTCCTGAATAACTGGGATTACAGGCATGTGCCATCACACCTGGCTAATTTTCTATTTTTAGTAGAGACAGGGTTTATCCATGTTGGTGAGGCTGGTCTCAAACTCCCAACCTCAGGCAAAAAAAAAAAAGTTCTCAATGTGGTGGTGGTGTTGGAGGTGGGGCTTAGTGGGAGGCGTTTGGGTCATCAGGAGCAGATCCTTCATGAATAGATTAATGTCCTCCCACATGAGCGAGTAATTTATTACTCTGTTGGGGCTAGGTTAGTTACCAAAAAGCAGGTTGTTATAAAAGCAAGTTTGGTTTCCTAGACTCTCTCTTGCTTCCCTGTCTCCCCATGTGATGTTTTTGCACATGCCACTCACTTTTCCCCTTCTCCAAAATGTTTTGACCTAACATTTGGCCTTCACCAGAAGTTTGCCAGATCCAGCACTATCCTGTTGAACTTCCCAGCCTGCAAAATCATGAGCTAAATAAACATCTTCTCTTTATAAACTACCCAGTTTCAAGTTATTCTGTTATAGTAATACTCAACATACTAAGACAGTCATTGAAAACAAAGTCAACCTGGAGGAGCCTTAAGGAGACATGATTAGGACTAAATACAATGTGATATCCTCGATGAAATCCTGTGACAGAAAAAGGAAGTTAAAAGAACTAATGAAACCTGGCTGGGCATGGTGGCTCACACCTGTAATCCTAGCACTTTGGGAGGCCAAGGCGGGTGGATCACTTTAGGTCAGGAGTAAGAGACCAGCCTGACCAACATGGTGAAATCCTGTCTCTACTAAAAATACAGAAATCAGCCAGGCACGGTGGCATGTGTCTGTAGTCACAGCTATTCAGGAGGCTGAGGCATGAAAATCATTTGAACTCGGGAGGTGGAGGTTGCAGTGAGTGGACATCATGCCATTGCACTCCGGCCTGGGTGACAGAGCAAGACTTTGTTTCAAAACAGAAAGAGCTAATGAAATCGAAATAAAGTTTAGTGATACTATATTAATATTGTCTCACTGGTTGTGAAAAATGTATAATAGTGATATAAGATGTTAACAATGGGGCTGGGGGCAGTGGCACACACCTGTAATGCCAGCACTTTGGGAAGCTGAGCGGGTAGATCACCTGAGGTCAGGAGTTCGAGACCAGCCTGGCCAATGTGGTGGAACCCTGTCTTTACTAAAACTACAAAAACTAGCTGGGCATGGTGGCGCGCACCTGTAATCCTAGCTACTCAGGAGGCTGAGGCAGGAGAATGGCTTGAAACCCGGAGGCAGAGGTTGCAGTGAGCCGAAATTGTGCCACTGCACTTCAGCCTGGGCGACAGAGTGAGACTCCCTCAAAAAAAAAAAAAATATGTTAACAATGGGGAGCTGAGTGTGACATATGTGAGAACTATGTATTATCTTTTCAACTTTTGTGTAATCTAAAAGTATTCTAAAATTAATAAGTTTATTAAAAAAAAACAACAACAACAACCCTCAGAAGAGGAAAGGAATAGGGAGTTAAAGAAAAAACAGTATACTTTTTAGTTTTCCCAGGGTTTCCTATCAAGGGGCTGGGAAGAGGGAGAAAAGATTGGAACCTCAGAGACAGTGTGGGGCTCCAGAGTTCTCTTGTCCTCTGACTACTGGGGCTGCTCAGAAATTGTCTTCATCCCCCTATTGATGTCAGGTTCCAGGGTCAGTCACCTCTGCCCAACTCAGACCACAGACATCCCAGCCTTTTCTGATTGCTCAATTTGTGTCTGAGACACCAGAGAGGTGCCACCCCCAAGTGGCCATAGACCTGAGGACAGACGACCTGAGCCCCCTTTTCTTCTCGCTGTGGACCTCCCCTGCGTCTCCTTGGGCTCCCGGAAGTCAGACAGGGTTCTTCATGCAAGGGCAAGTGTTTTAGTCTTTTTGGGCTGCTATTAAAAATCATATATTATAGACTGGGAAACACTGCCCTAGCCAAGTGATGGAGGTTAACATAATCATTTGATAAATCAACTGGGTAATATACACTCTTGGTATGTTGTATTGAGAGTATTGCATTTCATCTCTGTGCTCTTCTTCCCCCAAACCTATAGCCCTGTCAACCACACTCAAATTAAGGGACATTTTACAATATGCCTCACTAGTACTCCTCAAGAAATACCAAATTATCAAAAACGAGGTCTGAGAAATTGTCACAGACCAGAGGAGGCTAAGGAGATATAAAGGGGACTAAATGTAATGTATCCTGGATGGGATCCTGGAACATAAAAGTGATGTTAGGGAAAAGAATAAAATCCAAATAAAATAGGAGTTAGTAACAATGTATCAATATTGTTTCATAACCTGTCACAAATGTATAATAAAATAAGACATTAATAATAGGGGAAACTGAATGTGGAACATACGAGAACTATGTACTATCTTTGCAACTTTTCTGTAAATCCAAAAATATTGTAGATTTGATTTGATTTGATTTGATTTTTGAGACGGAGTTTTGCTCTTGTTGCCCAGGCTGGAGTGCAATGGCGCGATCTTGGCTCACCGCAACCTCCACCTCCCAGGCTCAAGAGATTCTCCTGCCTCAGCCTCCTGAGTAGCTGGGATTACAGGAATGCACCACCATGCCCGGCTAATTTTGTATTTTTAGTAGAGAGAGGATTTCTCCATATTGGTCAGGCTGGTCTCAAACCCCCCACCTCAGGTAATCCATCTGCCTCGGCCTCCCAAAGTGCTGGGATTACAAGTGTGAGCCACCGTGCCTGGCCAATATTTTAGATTTTAAAAGGATATTTTTATAACTAGTGCTCAGGAAAGAAAAAGAAAGTGGAAGTAAAAATTATCTACTTTTCGAGCGGCTTGCCTTCACTCCCTCATTGACAGCCAGCCTCCACACCAGCCATATCTGTCCAGTTTAGACTGCAGCCCAGTCCTCTCCCAGGCTGCTCAATCAGAATCCAAGAGAGCAGAACATCGGCACTTGTGTGTGGTCACCGGGCTGAGAACAGAAGACCAGACTCTTTTGGCCTCCTCCTCAGGTTGAGACCTCCCCATTGTCACCTTTGGCTTTCAGCAACTGGACAGGACAACGTACCCAAGGGGGCGCCCCAGTCCCGTGTTAGGCTCGGAATCTGAAGTGTTTCCCAAATCCACGCTGACATAGATGTTTCCTCTCCACCTAGTGACCGTGGATTCTGACCTCGGGACAGAGCGAGGTTTCCAGGCCAAAACAAGTGGTTCCCAGGTTACAAGTGGACCCCACAAACATACTGTCACTTCTGCTGCTGCTTCCAGGGATAAATGTGGCTTATCCTGGGGACCAACCCCTACTCTCCATCCCTAGGATGGGGGAGAGGAAGGGAAATTCTCAGGGCATTGGCCTAGGGAGTTGGAGAAGCTGCTGGTGAAGTGAAAACAGGAACAGAATAGGGACATTAGAGATAAAGGGGCATAGAAAGGAATCAGCTCTGATGACACCTGTGTAGGATCAATGGGTTCTGCTTGGGGAGAGGCTCACAGGTTTCTAACTGGGATGGTGTTTTTCACATGGATGATAATTACAGCTGTGTCAGTTTTACAAGCGATCAGAAAACTACACTTAAATTTTAGGCAATTTTTGTGCTTACAGAGACAGTATAATGCGCTTACACACGAAGAAAGGGAAGAAGACAAGGGGAGAAGAAGTGATTGTAGGAATTAGGTTCCTGTTTCCTTGCTAGCTGTCAACCAAGGGTTGCTCTCAGCTTCTGGAAGTTACCTGCATTCTTTTGCTCATGGCCACCTCCATCTTGAAACACAGCCATGGTACACTGAATACTTCTTTTGCTTTGAATCTTCCCAACTTCTCTTTGATCTTTGTTTTTTCTGCCCCTTAAGGAGTTCATGTGGTTAGATCAGGCCCAACCAGATAACCTGTTTTATGGTCAATTGTCTTGGGACTTCAATTACAACAGCATAATCCCTACATAGTGGTGCAGATGGTCCCTGATTTACGATGGCTCAACTTACAGTTTTTCAACTTTATGATGATGTGAAAGCAACACACATTCAGTATAAACTGTACTTTGAATTTTGATATTTTCCTGGGTTAGAGAGTATGATACTCTGTGACGGTGCTGGACAGCAGTAGTGAGCTGCAGCTCCCATCAGCCACACAATTATGATGGTAACAACTGATACTGTACTCTATACTGTACTGTATGCAACCAGTTACATGAGATAGTCAACACTTTATCATACAATGGGATTTGTGTTAAGTGATTTTGCCCAACTGTAGGCAAATGTGTTCTGAGCACATTTAAGGTAGGCTAGGCTGAGCTAATATATTCAGTAGGTTAGGTGCATTAAATGCATTTTCCACTTGAAAATATTTTTCAGTTACAATGGTTTTATTGAAACATAACCCCATTTTAAATTGAAGAGCATCTGTACTTTGATTAGTATTTGACTGAATAACCAGGGGAAGCAATCTTGAGGGGGAAAGCATCTTTAGAATTCTGCCTATCACAGTACCTTGGGGGACTACTGCAAATGAATGTATCCCATTAGAACTTCTCTACACCTCTAATCACCTTTTGTCTTAAAGTGGCTGAGGTGAGATAAAGGGATCTAAAGGGATCGGGAGCATGGAGGGAGAAACAAGTTCTGTTCCATTAAAGTCACGCATTTACTTTCAGTTTCTTTCTGCATGGCAAGCTTTCAGTGTTCTCAGCCCACCCAATACTTTATATTGGGCAGAAACATCCTGATGGCTGATGCCATCAATTTTGGCCTTGGATCTAGCACCCACAGCCATAGGCTCTGGCTGAGTCCATGGGGTTTGCACCTTCAGGCTGACTTGAGCTTGACTTGCACAGGGGTAACCTTGAATGAGGAGGATTCCGTCCATTACCAAGTTAACATTTTTAAAGTTCTCATCAGGTTTCAACATAAGGGCTAGGGGAATTTTTCAGAGGAACAGGGCTGACTGCAAGCATTTATTTACATTTCTTTAGGTCAGTTTGTTTTTCATCAATGGATCGCCTTCGTCAGTACGGTAACACCAACCCAGAGTACTAAGAGGCTGAATATGCACTTGATTTCCCATAGTACTTTGTCTCAGGGAAATCTTACCTAGAGGACCAAATCTTCCTAATGGCAGTCAGGGCTCACTGCGATGAAAATATGAGACCTTTTACTGTTGCCTACAAATGGATCTAAGGTTGGGCTCGCAGACTGCAGAAGGTGCTGATCTGTAAGGCAGCACAGTTGTTGCCATTCTTTCTTAACAAGCATTGACATGCTACCTCCTTATACCCTCAACGTCTCAACTCCCAGATGATCCAGCTAAAGTGTAATGATTTGTTTGGCTCTGCCAATAGCTATTGTTAATTTCCCTCCTTTCACATTCACTGTGCGTCTCTGTAATTTTCTGCGGAAAAATTGCAGATACTAGGATGAAATAACTTTTGTCAGACCCAGATAAAATAGGGCCAGGCCAGGCACGGTGGCTTATGCTTGTAGTCCCAGCACTTTGGGAGGCCGAGGCGAGCGGATCACCTGAGGTCAGGAGTTCGAGACCAGCCTGGCCTACATAGTGAAACCCCCATCTCTACTAAAAGTACAAAAATTAGTCGGACGTGCTGGCATGTGGCTGTAATCCCAGCTACTGGGGAGGCTGAGGCACGAGAATTGCTTGAACCTGGGAGGTGGAGGTTGCAGTGAGCCAAGATCACACCATTGCACGCTAGCCTAGGTGAAGAAGCAAGACTCTGTCTCAAAAAAAAAAAAAAAAAAAAAAAAATGGCCAGGAAGGCATGAAGGAGAGGAACGTCATGCTTACATGTTTGAAGTAAGAATTGTTAAGTTGGGCGTGGTAGCTCATGCCTGTAATCCCAGCACTTTGGGAGGCCGAGGTGGGTGGATCACCTGAGGTCGGGAGTTCGAGAACAGCCTGACCAACATGGAGAAACCCCATCTCTACTAAAAATACAAAATTTGCCAGGCATGGTGGTGCATGCCTGTAATCCCAGCTACTTGGGAGGCTGAGGCAGGAGAATCGCTTGAACCCGGGAGGTGGAGGTTGCAGTGAGCCGAGATCATGCCATTGCACTCTAGCCTGGGCAACAAGAGCGAAACTCTGTATCGAAAAAAAAAAAAAAAAAGAAAAGAAAAGAATTGTTTCAAAGGACTTTTTAAAAATTCCACAAGAAATCTTTTCTAGGGAGTGGGGAGGGATAGCATTAGGAGATATATCTAATGTTAAATGATGAGTTATGGGTGCAGCACACCAACATGGCACATGTATACATATGTAACTAACCGGCATGTTGTGCATATGTACCCTAAAACTTACAGTATAATTTAAAAAAAAAAAGAAAAAAGAAAGAAATCTTTTCTAGCCGGGCGCGGTGGCTCACGCCTGTAATCCCAACACTTTGGGAGGCTGAGGCAGGCAGATCATGAGGTCAGGAGTTTGAGACCAGCCTGACCAACATGGTGAAACCCTGTGTCTACTAAAAAAAAAAAAAAAAAAAAAAATTAACCGGGTATGGTGGCACGCACCTGTAATCCCAGCTACTCAGGAGTTGGAGGTTGCAGTGAGCTGAGATGGCGCCACTGCACTCCAGCCAGGGCAACAGAGCGAGACTCTGTCTCAAAAAAATAAAAATAAAAAAATAAAAGAAATCTTTTCTTCATCCTTCATGAATGTCCTGTCACAAGGTTTATCAGCAGGCATTCTTTTTTTTTGTTCTGTTTAGAAATAGGGCCTCACTCCATTGCCAAGGCTGGAATGCAGTGGTGCAATCATAGCTCACTGTAACCTCAAACTCCTGGGCTCAAGCAATCCTCCCACCTCAACCTCCTAAGCACCTAGGACTAAAGGCATGTACCACCACACCTGGCCAAGTTGTTTTCATTTTTTCTAGAGAAAGGGTCTTGCTATGTTGCCCAGGTTGGTCTTGAACTCCTGGCCTCCAGCAATCCTCCCTCCTCAGCTTCCCAAAGTGTTAGCATTCCAGGAGTGAGCCACGGGGGCCTAGCCTAGACATTCTTTAGTACTATAGTAATTCAGATAAGATGCTCTTGAAAGAACACTTGCCCAGTAACGGCAATGTCTCCCAAGTAGCTGGGATTACAGGTGTGCGTCACCACCACCGGCTAACTTTTGTATTTTTAATAGGGACAAGGTTTCGCCATATTGGCCAAGCTGAGGTCGAACTTCTGACCTTAGGTGATCCGCCCCCTCAGCCTCCCAAAGTGCTGGGATTACAGGTGTGAGCCACCGCTCTCGGCCGCGTGTTTTAATCATAATACTTTGGTCTTTTTTTTTTTTTTTTCGTAAATACTTTCCTTTTTTTTTTTTTTTTTTTTTTTTTGAGATGGAGTTTCACTCTTTTTGCCCAGGCTGGAGTGCAGTGGCGTGATCTGGGCTCACTGCAACCTCCACCTCCCGGATTCAAGCGATTCTCCTGCCTCAGCCTCCTGAGTAGCTGGGGTTACAGGCGCCCGCCACCACGCCTGGCTAATTTTTGTACTTTTAGTAGAGACGAGGTTTCGCCATGTTGGCCAGGGTGGTCTTGAACTCCTGACTTCAGGTAATTCACCAGCCTCGACCTCCCAAAGTGCCGGAATTACAGGTGTGAGCAACCGCGCCCAGGCTTTTTTTTCTTCTTCTTTTAGAGTCAATTAAGACTGGGAAAGCGAAAATCCTAGCGCTACTTGGGACCAGCAGTTATCAGTTGGTTGGAGGCTCGAAGTGGTGGTGCATGGCCGGGCTGTCTATGATTCTTAGGATGGGAAGCTTGACCTTGGCGGGCTCACCCTCTCATCTGGGTCAAGGGGCACACATTCTCGGTGGCCTGATGACTGGGAGGGAGCGGAAGAGGGCGGGGCCGGGGCGGGGCCGCGGCGCCGGGACTGCGGGTGCTCGGCCGGAGCGCTCCACCCGCTGGTCCCCGGGAGACCCTGTGCCCCTAAATCGCGGTCCACTGCGCGCGTCAGGTGAGTAGAGCGGCGGCGGGGAGTCGCGCTAGCGGTAGTAGAGGCTGATGTTGGATGTTGTCCCCACTCCTCTGACTCTTCCGCAGGCCAGGGGAGCACTGCGCCCCAATCTTGGAGGGGCTTCCAACCTCTGGGGTCCTCCGGGGAAACGTGGGTTAGTCTGGGGTGTATCCAGGTGCCCTGTCCACTGTGGGCACTCTGGGGATTCCGGGCCGAGGAAGGGCTCCTGGCACGTGTTGAAAAAGTCGGCATCCCAGAAGGAAGATTCTGGGCGGATGGGCATCGGGGAAGGTAGTCCCAACCAATGGGACCGTTTCTGAGCACATAAGCGCATTCAGTGGGTGCTAACAAGCGCCTGCTTTGCCAGGCAACAGTGAGCAAAACCGGCTTTGTTCCCGGCCACCGGAAGCTTCGAGGCTGGGGTTCCGGATCTGGGCGCCCAATGACAAACTAAGCGCGGAGGACAGGGCCAGGAGCGCCCACCAGGGCGGCGATCTGGTGGGTAGGTGCAGGGCAATGGCTGGAAAGGGTCCCCGAAGCCCTGAGCAGAGACCAAAGGGCCGTGCGACTGCAGGAAGGCCATTTTGCTTGGCTGACAGGCGGAAAACTCACGTGGCTGGAGTAGCAGGGTTGGTGACGACAAGGGTGAATCCCACTAAGCATTGCAACTGTTTGCGGTGTGAGGGGTGAGGGGGATTCTCATCATTCTCAGAATTGCTGTGGATAAAGGGTTTTGGGTTGGAGAGAGACTGGGTGCACTCAAAGGACTGAAAGATGGCGACGACACATTCCCTCAGAGGATTTACATTCTGGAAGGGTGGGGACAGGCCCGGGTACAGATAAGCCCGCAGGCGGCCTCCAGCTCTTACAGTCGAAAGTCTGATGAGTTATGCCCAGTCTCCTTCCTCCTCCCGCCGGCATGAGGTTTGGGGCCCTGTGGATGAAGGAAGTTCATGGGAGGCAAACGTGCCTGGGCAAGCAACAGCCGCAGAGATTCAGTCCCCACGGGGGTTAGAATCCACACTTAGGGCCTCTGCCTACCGCCTCCAGCAAATGCCATCTTGAGGACTAGCGGCAGCAGTAGGTCTTCTCTGCCAGAGAACTGGAAGGCCAGGTTCTTGAGGGCACTGTTACTAAGGCGTTTTTTTTGTTTGTTTGTTTGTTTGTTTGTTTTTGAGACGGAGTTTCACTCTCATTTCCCTGGCTGGAGTGCAATGGCGCGATCTCCGCTCACCGCAACCTCTGCCTCCCGGGTTCAAGCGATTCTCCTGCCTCAGCCTCCCTAGTAGCTACGATTACAGGCATGCGCCACCACGCCGGGATAATTTTGTATTTTTAGTAGAGACGAGGTCCATGTTGGTCAGGCTGGTCTCAAACTCCTGACCTCAGGTGATCCGCCCGCCTCGGCCTCCCCAAGTGTTGGGATTACAGGCTGAGCCACCGTGCCCAGCCTTATTAAGGCTGTTTTGAAGTGCAGTTGGCTGGAAAGTGGAAGAATAATCCAAGATCTGCATGCCTCATAAAAGGAGTGCGAATGGTTTTGAAAGACAGGAAAGGAAAGGGAGAGAGAGGAAAGAAAGAGAGAGGAAGAAAGGAAGGAAATCAAATTCATATCCCAGGAATGCACCTTTCATGACAACATTTTGGAGATCCAATTAACTCTATTCCTCGAGGGCGTTTTTCCTTGCTGGTATTTTCAGTTCTATTAACACTTCTCAAAAAGTGAAAGGAAAAAATAGTCAACAGGGTTTTTTGGTCTTTATTCTTTTCTTTCTATCTCTAGTAAGGGAGATGTGGGTGAGTGGCTGTCAGCAGGAAAAGGTGAGAGTTCAGCTATGTTTGCATCTGAGCAGGAAATTTCCAAGGATGAGCAGGGAACTCCAGTGCTGGGCTCATTGTGAGCCCTGAATAAGTGATTGCTCTTGGGTTGTTAGCAGTATTCTTCACAAAGATCTGTATATACAGTGGTTCCCCTTATCCACAGGTGATATGTTCCAAGAGCTCTAGTGGATACTTTGTTTTTGTTGTTGTTTGAGGCAGAATCTCACTCTGTCACCCAGGCTGGAGTACAGTGGCACAGTCTTGGCTCACTGCAACCTTCACCTCACGGGTTCAAGTAATTCTGCCTCAGCATCCTGAGCAGCTGGGACTACAGCGTGCCACCACGCCCAGCTAATTTTTGTATTTTCAGTAGAGACGGGGTTTCACCATGTTGGCCAGGCTGGTCTCAAATTCCTGCCCTGAAGTGATCCACCGCGCCCCACCCCAGTGGATACTTTGAAACCATGAATAGTACCAAACCCTGTATACACTATGGTTTTCTTTTTCTATACATACATAATAATGATAAAGTTTAATTTACAAATTAGGCATGGTAAGAGATTGACAACAATAACTAGTAATAAGATAGAACAATTACAGCAATATATTGTAATAAAAGTTGTATGAATGTGGTATCTCTCTCAAAATAATTTATATTGTAAATCTTAGCAACCTCAGCATATGATTATTTTTTCTTTCCTTAAGACAAGAATTTTTACCTTTTTATTTTATGGCTTCTCTTTGCATATCTGAATTTCCAGCGTCTCTACTCTTGTGCTTTTGGGTCATTATTAAGTAAAATAAGGCATTCTTGAGCACAGGCAACTGCTATACTACAGTAGTCAACCTGGTAACTGAGATGGCTAGCTACTAAGGAACTAATGGGCAGGTATTGTCTGCAGTGTGGATATGCTAGTCAAAGGGATGATTCACATCCTGGGCAGGCCAGAGAGAAAAGGTACAAGATTTCATCACACTACTCAGAATGTCAAGCAATTTAAAACTTAGGAATTGTTTATCTCTGGATTTTTTTTTGAGACGGAGTCTCGCTCTATGTCCCAGGCTGGAGTGCAGTGGCGCAGTCTTGGCTCATGGCAACGTCCACCTCCAGGGTTCAAGTGATTCTCCTGCCTCAGCCTCCTGAGTTGCTGGGATTACAGATGTGTGCCACTATGCCCAGCTATTTTCTTTTTGTATTTTTAGTAGAGACAGGGTTTCACCATGTTGACCAGGCTGATCTCGAACTCCTGACCTCAGATGATCTGCCTACCTCAGCCTCCCAAAATGCTGGGATTACAGGTGTGAGCCACTGTGCCTGTCCTCCGGAATTTTTCATTTAATATTTTTGAACCATGGTTGACCATGGGTAACTGAAGCATTGGAAAGCAAAACCATGATAAAGGGGAACTACTACATGTATTGAAAATCCAGATCACAGAATTGTGTGTGTGTGTGTGTGTGTATAATTTTGGTCATGGAAGAGATCTTAGAGAGTGTCTCCTTTATTCTCACATTTCTGATGAAACCAAGTCAGAAAGAATAAAGAGACTCACTCGAGGTGATCTGTGACAGATCCTAGCCTGGTTACCCCAGCTACATGATTTCCAATGGTACTGAGTCTAACATTAACATTAGGTTTAAACATTAACTTTTGTAGATCAAGAATGTCCACTTGTCCTTGGAAAATTATTTAGCATCTCTGCATTAGGTCCTTAAGACAGGGCCAGTAATTGTTACCTCATTGCTGAGAGCATCCAGTGGCACACTGTAGGGGTTTAGTAACTGCTGGCATTCCCTGACCAAATAAGGAAGCTGTTTCTTACCCTCCCTCTTGCTGATATGTTTTGTTTTTCTCTGACCTCAGGTTTCTAGAAGCAGGGTAGAACAGACGGCAGACACCTAGCCCAGGCTGGTGTTGTTACTAAACAATGGCAGCTGGTGAGCCAAGGGTGACCAGGGCCCTGAACTCGGTGGCCCAGCTTTGAGGGAAGCAAAATTGTTCTCAATTGTGGAAGAGGAGAATTTGGACAGCAGAACAAAAAAGGAAGACAGCCTCTTGGAGCAGATACATTTGTCACAGGAAGCCACATCAAACCCTGGGGCCTTTGCTGGGCCTCTCCATCTGCCCAGTTACTGGGAGGTAGATAGCCCCAGGAAGGAATCCAGTCAGGCCTGGGCACCAGGCCAGGAGTGGATAAAGCTAGAAAGAGACACCACAGAAGAGAAGATGTTTGAACAGCTGAAGCCAATCGAACCTGTACAGAAGACGCTCCCATGGGTGGGCGAGGTAGCTGCCACCCTGCAGGAAGCCATGAAGAGAGATTGCTGGAGGGAGGCACGGGTGAAGAAGGTGAGGAGACTAAGCTAGAGAGAGGTGGGGTCCAGGTCCTGGACTCCAGGAGCTCTTTCATACATACTCCTGCCTGCAGGTCAAATGAAATCTCAGATTGTTCCAGACTGAACGACATCCAGAAAAAGGAGCTGCAAGACCTTTCTCCATCTCCCGCACCATCCTGGCATCCTTCATGGAGTACTTCCTGAAATTTGTTAGAGTGGCAGCATTTTTTCCTTCGCTTTGCTTTCCTGTTTATATTCTGCATATCTGCATATCCTCTTTCCTCTCCCCCACATCTTATCTTTCTCCCTTTCTCTTCATCTTTCCTTTCCTTTTTTTTTTTTTCTTTTTTTTTTTTTTTGAGACGGAGTCTCGCTCTGTCACCCAGGCTGGAGTGCGGTGGCGCGATCTTGGCTCACTGCTACCTCTGCCTCCCGGGCTCAAGCAATTCTCCTGCCTCAGCCTCCTGAGTAGCTGGGATTACAGGCATGCGCCACCATGCCCAGCTAATTTTTGTGTTTTTAGCAGAGACCAGGTTTCACCATATTGGTCAGGCTGGTCTCGAACTCCCGACCTCGTGATCTGCCTGCCTCAGCCTCCCAAAGTGCTGGGATTACAGGCGTGAGCCACCGCGTCCGGCCTCCTTTCCTTTCTATACTTCACAGTTGCTGGCCTTGTGTCTGTCTTTTAATATTTCTCTCTTCCTTCCATGGTTTTATCTTTCTCTTAGGTTTTAATTCTCTGAATCTTGAGACTGGATGTTAATCTTGTACACACACACACACACACACACATATATATTTATATAAACTTCTTGAGTCTCTCCTGTTCTTCCAGAAGCCAGTCACCTTTGAGGATGTGGCAGTGAATTTCACCCAGGAAGAGTGGGACTGTCTAGATGCCAGCCAGAGGGTCCTTTACCAGGATGTTATGTCGGAAACCTTTAAGAATCTAACATCTGTGGGTAAGAGGCTGGGCTTCCCTCAGCAAGCCCCCTGTCCTAAGGGCCCTGGAACATCTGGTTTCCCTGGACAGGTAGATCAGCTTACAATTAGTTTCACTGACCCCTGGTTCTATGCTTTCCAGGTGTGAAAGATCTGAGTCACTAAGCTCAGTGGTAAAGAGAAGAAATGATAGCCTGCATGAAGGCAAAGATAACACTTGTAACATGATGACAGTGTTCTCAAAATATGCAAATTTTTCCATTCATCAAACAAATATTTACTAAGTCACTCCTGAGAACCAGGTACTTTGCTAGCAGCTGGCCTTTTAATGTCTCCTTTCCACATCTACATGTCCCAGGTTATGGTTCTTAAACAAAGGCTACAGGAGGTAGCCTGTTGTCCCCATCAGATGTGAAGGGGCCATACCTGGGACCAACTCAACTCTTTCTCATTCCCACACATCAGCCAGAATCTTTCTGCATAAGCCAGAGCTAATCACCAAGCTTGAGCAAGAAGAGGAACAGTGGAGAGAGTTTGTCCATCTCCCAAACACAGAAGGCCTTTCAGGTAAGAATTGCCAAGCAGGGAGGAAGGGGAAAAGGGCCCAGGATAACCCCTGAAAGGATGGAGAGCTGATGAAGAGGATGAATGCTCTATAGATGCTCTCCTAGTGTACCTCTGTCCAGCCTGGTCAGACTTGGAGTTGAAAGAGAGCTTAATATCATAGGCTCAAGTCCCTTGACTTCAAGTTGAAGATCCAAGTCTCTCTCTCTCTCTCTCTTTTTTTTTTTTTTTTTTTTTTGAGACACAGTCTCGCTCTGTTGCCAGGCTGGAGTGCAGTGGCACAATCTTGGCTTACTGCAACCTCCACTTCCCGGGTTCAAGCGATTCTCCTGCCTCAGCCTCTCGAGTAGCTGGGACTACAGGCATGTGCCACCGTGTCCAGATAATTTTTGTATTTTTAGTAGAGACAGGGTTTCACCATGTTGGCCAGGATGGTCTTGATGTCTTGACCTCAGGTTATCCATCCACCTCGGCCTCCCAAAGTGCTGGGATTACAGGCATGAGCCACCGTGCCTGGCTGGCTGAAGATCTAAGTCTTTCAGGAGAAGTAGATGTCTTCAGTTTCTAGAGATTGAGAGATGACATGAAAGTTGCTTATGTCCATGATAGTGCTCTGATTAAAATGTTCTTTCCAAGAGAAAAGAGAAGCAAAGGAGATAGGTTTCATGCTGGGTTGGAGTAAGGGAGGCTTGTCCCTGGTAGTAAATAGTTGAGAGAGATATCAAGCCAGGCTGATACACTTTTTGGTTTTCCAGGACAGTCCTGGTTTATACTTCTCATCCCAGCTTGATTATTAATAACACCTCTTTTCACCCTCAAGTGGCCCAGTGTTCATGATGCATTATTATGTGGGTGTCTGTGGATTGTCTATGGGAGTTTGAGCAATATTGAGAATGAGATAAGATAGATTTCAAGAAGTGTTGTTGTAAGTTAAAATTTACATTTCTGACAGTGTTGAAAGATTCCAGTTAACTTTTTATTTGCTTCTAATTTGAAAAGCCAATTTTTTCTTTTTTTCTTCTTATTTCTAGCCTATGAGGCCCAAGGGTAAGGATGAATGTGTTGGGTGGGAGAGCAAGGGCAGAGACAAGAAGTGTGTTAGGCTGAATGGAGTGCTGTGTTGGAGTTCTTCTTCTTCCTCTTCTTCTTCTTCTTCGTCTTCGTCTTCTTCTTCTTCTTCTTTTCTTTTCTTCTTCTTCTTCTTCCTTCTTCTTCTTCTTCTCCTTCTCTTCTCCTTCTCCTTCTTCTCCTTCTCCTTCTTCTTCTTCTTTTTCTTTCTTTCTTTTTTTTTTTTTGAGACAGAGTTTCACTCTAGTTGCCCAGGCAGGAGTGCAGTGGCACCATCTTGGCTCACTGCAACCTCCGCCTCCCGGGTTCGAGTGATTGTCCTGCCTCAGTCTCCCTAGTAGCTGAGATTACAGGCAGATGCCATGACGCCCAGCTAATTTTTGTATTTGTAGTAGAGACAGGGTTTCACCATGTTGGTCAGGCTGGTTTCGAACTCCTAACCTCAGGTGATCCGCTGGCCTCGGCCTCCCAAAGTGCTGGGATTACAGGTGTGAGCCACCATGCCAAGCCTCTGTTGGAGTTCTTACAGTGAATTTTGTGTTATTCTTCCTCATTCACTGTAGAAGGCAAGAAGAAAGAGCTTCGAGAACAACATCCCAGTCTGAGAGATGAGGGGACTAGTGATGACAAGGTCTTCCTTGCATGCAGAGGGGCCGGCCAGTGCCCCCTATCTGCCCCAGCTGGGACTATGGACAGGACCCGGGTGCTTCAAGCATCCCAGGCTGGGCCACCCTTTTTTTGCTACACCTGTGGCAAATGTTTCAGCAGGCGCTCCTACCTCTATAGCCACCAGTTTGTTCACAATCCCAAGCTGACTAACAGCTGCAGTCAGTGTGGGAAGTTGTTTCGGAGCCCCAAGTCCCTCAGCTATCACAGACGCATGCATCTTGGGGAGAGGCCCTTCTGTTGCACGCTCTGTGACAAGACCTACTGTGATGCTTCTGGACTAAGTCGTCACCGCCGCGTCCATCTGGGTTACCGGCCCCATTCATGCTCTGTGTGTGGGAAGAGCTTCCGGGACCAGTCTGAGCTCAAACGCCACCAGAAGATACACCAAAACCAGGAGCCAGTGGATGGAAACCAGGAGTGTACTTTGAGGATTCCAGGCACCCAGGCTGAATTCCAGACACCCATCGCCAGAAGCCAGAGGTCCATCCAGGGGCTTTTGGATGTGAACCATGCACCAGTGGCCAGGTCCCAGGAACCCATATTTAGAACTGAGGGTCCTATGGCCCAGAACCAGGCATCTGTACTTAAGAACCAAGCACCTGTGACCAGGACCCAGGCACCCATCACTGGAACCCTCTGTCAGGATGCCAGATCCAACTCTCATCCAGTGAAGCCCTCAAGACTCAATGTCTTCTGTTGCCCCCATTGTTCTTTGACTTTTAGCAAGAAATCCTATCTCTCCAGACACCAGAAGGCCCACCTCACAGAGCCGCCCAACTACTGCTTCCATTGCAGCAAGTCTTTCAGCTCATTTTCCAGGCTGGTCAGACACCAGCAGACCCACTGGAAGCAGAAGAGCTACCTTTGCCCTATCTGTGACCTCTCCTTTGGGGAGAAAGAGGGCCTTATGGATCACTGGAGGGGCTATAAAGGCAAGGACCTGTGCCAGAGCAGCCACCATAAATGCCGGGTGATCCTGGGCCAGTGGCTTGGCTTCTCTCATGATGTCCCCACTATGGCTGGGGAGGAATGGAAGCATGGAGGTGATCAATCTCCCCCCAGGATCCATACCCCCAGGAGAAGAGGCCTAAGAGAGAAGGCCTGCAAAGGAGACAAAACAAAGGAGGCAGTGAGCATCTTGAAACATAAATAAATGGCCTTTCTGACTGAGCTCTTTCTTTGTGTTTAGTTTTCCTGAGGACTGACCTCTGGGGTAATGAGGCTGGAGTAGAGGGAGACAGGTGCGTGGATAAGGAAGGAAATACATAAAAGACAAGGGGTTAGAAGTGTGCTTATGAAAACTTGTATTATTATTTTTTATTTATTTATTTATTTATTTATTTATTTATTTATTTATTTATTTATTTTTGAGACAGAGTCTTACTCTGTCACTCTGGCTAGAGTGCAGTGGCGCGATCTCAGCTCACTGCAACCTCTGCCTCCTGGGTTCAAGCGATTCTCCTGCCTCAGCCTCCGGAGTAGCTGGTATTATAGGTGCCCACCACTATGCTCAGTTAATTGTTTGTATTTTTAGTAGAGATGGGGTTTCACCATGTTGGCCAGGCTGGTCTCGAACTCCTGACCTCGTGATTCGCCCGCCTCGGCCTCCCAAAGTGCTGGGATTACAGGCGTGAGCCACCGCACCCGGCCAAAACTCATATCTTTATTAATTAGCACCTAGCTTGTTTGTTTGTGTCTGACCATCAAGTAGTAGTTGTTGAATAAACAGTGGATACTCTGATAGATATGAAGATAGGAGAAAAGGATGAGAGGAAGGAAAGATTCTGAGACCTGTGGAAGATGTGTAAGTAGAAGGAAAACATTCTAAAGCAGGCATGTTGCCCAGCTTTCGTTTTTGCTTCCCCAGGTCCCTAGTAGGCTGCCAAGACAAGGAGGAGCTCTGGCTAGTATTCTGTAGGTTTCTCCCCATCTCCAGGTTTGGGTTGGGGCTACTCATATCCTCACTCTTCAGCTCACTCAGCTCTCTCTTCAATGTTTTGCACTCTTCCTCTTCCTTCCCTTCACATGCCTTTCAGTTTTGCGCAATCAGGGCTGGAGTCTTGGAAGAAACAACCACCATTTGCAAAGTTACCATACTGTAATTTTCAGTGAGGAGATTCCTGGCCTCCAGTTCATGGCAGAGACCATCCTGTGTTGCTCTCCAGTACAGGTGTCCTCTGATGGAGAGAGGGGCACCTGCCTGTCCTTAGCCAGAGAGGGCTTCCAGGTGGAAGACTGGAGAGAGAAATGGAAAGAAGGGTAATAAAAATGGGAAAATGAAGAGAAAAGGTAGATGACAGAAGAAGGGAAATCAATTCTACTTGGAATTCAGAGTGTTCCTGAAAGTGCAAATTGGAATGTCCCCATAGCAAAGATGCCAGTGAGTGTGCAACTTGATGGATGAGATGTCCCCAAGGACAAATCCCTGGGCAACCAGGCTCTCCTCCACCCCTGCCAAGATGTGACATCACTCAGAAGGGATTTCCTAGAAGAAGGAGAAAATAACTTGAAAAACGTATGTCAGTAGTTTGTATCATAAAACCATTGAACTAGGGAGAAGAAAAGCCCTTGGGGTCATCTTGTCTCCATTCCTGCCTCAATGGTTGATCTGAGAGGTGAGGCACTGGGCAGTTGCTGTGGAATGGGCAATGAGACCAGCTAGGGTTGGATTCCTGCTTAGGGGCAGTGAAGGAGGAATGGATCAGGTGGCAGATAGGAGTGCCTCCAGCTTCTCTGCCACCTGTAAATGTGTCTCTAACAGCTGGCTTCTTTGCCCTCTACCTCCCAGGAGGAGTCTTCCCTCCACCCAGGCTCTCCAGCTCCTCCTTTCCTCTGGGAATGTGATCCCTCAATAGCCCGCCTCTTCCTCTTGTTGCTTCTGTCTCCCTTTCCTGGCTTTTTATTCTCTGCTTATAACAGAGAGAAGAGAACTTACGTAGCTCTTCAAGGAATTGCCCTGAAAACAAAAAGAAACAAATATGTGATTAGTGGAAGATGAACAGCACCTTCCCCACATCCTCCCTATGGACATTTGGAGTGACCCACACTGCCCTTTCCACTGGGGGATCCCACAGATCCAGTAAGTGGTTCTCTTCACAGTTTCTCAGAAGAGCCTGGGGTTGGGCATGGGGACAGAGGAATAAGGAAATCCCAGCTCCCCTAATCTTGAGTCCTGGTTCTATTCTCTTTTGGCTTCCCATTCAGAGCTGACTTGGTCCCCCACTATTTGGTGGTCTTGCCTGCTGCCCAGCCACTGCACCTGCTAGTCTTCGATGTAGCCAGTTGTAGCAGATGATCAAGGCAACCAAGGGTCCAAGAACCGGCACAATTACAAACAGGGTTATCTTCCAGCAGGGCACCCTCAGAAAGTGGGGATCTGAATTGTTCACCAGAACAAACAGGGTTAACATGTGTTCCCCCTCATGCCCCACCCACCTGTCTTTTTTGGTTCCTTAACCTGGGGTCCTAGAACACCAAAGGACTCTGGGGACAAAATTCAGAAAGTCCATGAACTTGGATGAGAAAAGTACTGCCTCCTTATTTTCAATAACTGGATTTAACATTTTCTTTCATTAAAAATGTAACAACTGCCAGGTGTGGTGGCTCATGCCTGTAATCCCAACACTCTGGGAGTCCGAGACGGGTGGATCATGAGGCCAAGAGTTCAAGACCAGCCAGGCCAACATGGTGAAACCCCATCTCTACTAAAAATGTAAAAATTAGCTGGGCGTGGTGGCACATGCCTGTAATGCCAGCTACTCAGGAGGCTGAGGCAGGAGAATCGCTTGAACCTGGGAGGCGGAGGTTGCAGTGAGCCAAGATCCTGCCCCTGCACTCCAGCCTGGGCCACAGAGCAAGACTCTTGTTGATCCCACCAACACCCATTCCCCCAAGTCTTGGAAAAAACAAAACAAACCAAAACATTTTACAACTAACCACAATATGAGCAGTACCTGTGACTTAATTACCAATGGAAGCCACAGATGTTTTCATTCCCATTAGAGTTATTGCAGAAATCTTGAAATACTGTTTATGTTTATTAGTATGTTGAAATTAAAGGTTATTGGGCTGGGCCTGGTGGCTCATGCCTGTAATCCCAGCACTTTGGAAGGCCAAGGCAGGCAGATCACCTGAGGTCAGGGGTTCAAGACCAGCCTGGCCAACATGGTGAAACCCCGTCTCTACTAAAAATACAAAAATTAGCTGGGCATGGTGGCATGCGCCTGTAGTTCCAGCAACTTGGGAGGCTGAGGCAGGAGAATCGCTTGAACCCAGGAGGTGGAGGTTGCAGTGAGCCGAGATTGTGCCATTGCACTCCATCTCAAAAAAACTTCATCTCAAAAAAAAAGAAAGAAAGAAAGAAAGAAAGAAATTACAGGTTATTAGACTTGCTGCTACATTACTTAATGTATTACTTTGGCTAAAGAAATATTTATGGCCGGGCACGGTGGCTCATGCCCGTAATCCCAGCACTTTGGGAGGCCAAGGCAGGTGGATCACCTGAGGTCAGGAGTTCGAGGCCAGCCTGGCCAACCTGGTGAAACCTAGTCTCTACTAAAAATACAAAAATTAGCTGGGTGTGGTGGCGGGCACCTGTAATCCCAGCTACTCGGGAGGCTGAGAATCGCTTGAACCCGGGAGGCAGAGGTTTCAGTGAGCCTAGATCGCGCCATTGCACTCCAGCCTGGGTGACAAGAGCAAAACTCTGCCTCAAAAAAAAAAAAAAAGAAACATTTATGTTACTATATCACAAATGTGATTATCGGTTGATAACTGTATTTTAGTACAATGATTGTTTTTGCAATCCTATGTGTTCTATTTTATGTGTATATTTAAAAACATTCTGCAAAGGGGTCCTTTAGACTTCACTGGAGTGCCAGAGAGATTCATGGTACAAAAAGGAGTTAAGACCTTTCATAGTCAAGTCCTCCAAAACAAAGATACTATTCCTCCTCTTTGGGTGTGTAAAGATGTGTGTGTGTGTGGTCCACACACTGGTCTAATTTCCTAAATCGTACGATAGACCTCTGTGTGCCAGGTGACAAGAGTAGAGTCACCTACAGCCTCGGGAGGAGGAGCTGTGAAGGAAGTTTGCTCAGAGAAGGTACCATCTGTGCCCTAATGACACCTTCTAGTGTCTGCAACATTTATCTAACAAATATTTGGGTGCTCTTCTGTTGCCATTATCTTTAGGCATTGGGCAATCTGCAGTGAACAAAAAGGCTAGAAACCATGTCCTTGAGGGGTCAATTCCTAGTGGGGCTTGGTGGCTTTTCTATTCCTCTATGAGGTCTTCTCTGATTAGTCATGTTCTGTACTCATGGAAACATCCTGAGTTTGTAAAGCAGAAATATAAGTACAGGTGATACAGTTGTGTCTTGTTTCTGTTTGTTTCACCTCCCCAACCAGACATCAGGTTTACGTGTAAACGATCTATTTACCTCTGTTTTGCCATTCCTGAAAAGAGAGATCATGTGCATAAGGAGTTAAACAGAATAAGATAACGTTTTTGTAAAGTAGTTAGAATAGTGCCTGGCACATAAAAACAGTACATGAGTATTTTTATTATGATTTTACCAATCCTAAATGCAAATGACTTCTTATTTAAAGAAAGAAAAGAGAAGAGAGGAAGGGACTCAACCAGGAGCCAGGGGTCCTTGTTCCCCCAGGTGACTGGAACTAGAGTGAAATACCAAGTTGACCTGGGAGGGCCTAGACATGCCGGAACTTACCAAAAGTCCGGTGGAGATTCTCTGAAAGAGAAACAAATGGAAATGGATTTAGTAGGGCACTCAAAAAGGATCTTTTATCCTGAGTCTTTGTTATTTAATTACTTAAAACTTGTTCTAGGCACGACACACCCACTGTAGAGAAAGGGAAACTGAGGGGAAAACAGGGTATTGAGAGGGAGAGACGGTCCAAGAACGGGACCATTTCCGTTATGCCAAAAAACCAAAAGGCAAGAATTGGGAGAAACGATGACTGGAACTCACCTATCTCTGCTCGAAGTTTTCCTAAAATAGAAAAAGGCAACATTTTAGTTCCTGCATGTTCTGGCTCTCGGTGGGGACCCTCCCACACCCAGCGCCTGGGCCCCTTGTGCAGGCTATTTCTCTGCAGCCTGGAAACAACCTCAGGAGAGTAGGAAGAGCACTGGATTTAAAGCCAATGGTTGCGGCTCTTTCTCTAGCTATAGTCTAGATACAATAGCGAATAAAGAATGTGAGCAATGCTCCAAGCCAGCACAAGCATCCAATACATCCCAGCTGCTCTTCGCCCCTTTTCTTGGATTCTCAGTTCACAGAGCTGCTCCAGCCCACTGCGTTGCCACTTTTGTTTATCTAAAGCCACTTCCCATCTGAATGAGGAGGGAGGAGCTGAACATTTAGTGAGTAGCTAGCTACTTTGTGACTGGATTTGTAGTAGGCACTTTGCATGACTTTAATCCTCCCTACAATTTAGGACGAAGGATGTTTTCTCTATTTGACAGACAAGGCAACTGAAGCTTGGAGAATCTAAGAATTTTGCTATAGAGTTCAGTACCTGAGATGGAATTCAAACCCAGGCTGCCTGACTCTAACATTCAGATTCTTTCTGCTCAGCCATGAGGGCTGAAGGCCTTTTTTTGTGTGGAAGAAGTAAACAAGCAGGCATCTGGGATGAATTCAAGGTGAGAGAAAGGACTTTGTTGTTGATCGCACCAACACCCATTCCCCCAGAACATTCCCCATACCCTCCTTGCTACTTTCTCCTCTCCTCTTAGTAACAAATGGGAGGTGGGGCATGGGGAGGAGTGAAGACTCTTCCTGCTCTGGCATTGGGGAGACACTTGGTAGGAGGAGAAGGCTCAGAATGAAAGCTCTAGGCAAAAAAGAGGAGCTTCATCAGCAGCTGAACCTGAGTCCTCAGTGTTGAATGGAGAAAGAGGAAACAATTTTCGAACGCCTACTGTGTGGTAGAGACTTTCACTTCAGTATCTTTATTCAAAACTCCTAATAGCCTAGACCTGTCTGACTTCGAAGCTCACACTCTCCCAAGTTGCATGGAGCTGCTAGGTATGATACAGAGGCCTCAGCTCTACCACTTATAAGTTATATCGGTTTGAGTAAGTCACTGAACTACTCCTGGCCTCAGTTGTATCCTCTGTAAAATGGGGTTACTATATGGCATAGTTAGCTCATAGGGAAATGCTAGGTCCGATTATTCATATGAAAGCATTCCGTAAGATGTAAAACTCTTTCATCATGGAGTTATTTTTTTTCTTTATCACTCAATAGTGAGAAGAACTTCTGAACCCAGAAGTCACTCACAAATACATGTTAAGTGGTGTAGCTCCAAGAAGCCAGCTCATTTAAAGAAAGGATCCTGATCCACCCACCCTCTGCCCTGTACCTCTCAGTCTGTACTGCAGGCAGAGGAAGACGAGGCCAACAGTGATCTGCAGGAGGAGCACAGGCAGCACCGCGAGGAGAACCAGCACTCCAGGGCTCACCCAGTAGAAAGGATCTGAAAGGCAGGACTGACATTTGACATTGTCCAGAGCTGAATCCCCAACACTCAGCATGGTGTCTGGGGCCCAATAAATCAGGTCAAATAAAGAAGTGAATATCATCAGGATTCAAAGAAGGTGACACAGAATTGGTCCCTGAGCTTAGCCCTGAAGGAAAAATGGCTTTTTTTTCCAGGAAATGCTAGTGATTTAGAATGACAAGTGGTTTAAAGTCAAGATTGTGTATTGGGTCAGGCTGGGGGAGTTTTAACGAGCAGCTAAGGGACTTACATCTGAAGTCCCTCAAGGGACTTTTTATTGACGACAAAGTCAAAGGTTCTCTTCATATTATTGTGGTGTATCGCCTACAAGCATAATTAAAATAAACACTAAATTTCAGTTTAAAGTTTACTGAAAATAAATATGTATTTCAAATATGTAGTTCAAGGCTGTGGTGGTGCACTGAAGGATTCCAAGCTGAGAAGTGACCACGTCAGATTTAGCACCTACAGGACTGGAGAACATAGGGAGAAATGTTAAGAGACTGTGATAACAATTAAAGTAAAAAACAACATGAACCTGAACTAGGACAGTGGTAATGGTATAGGAAGTCAGGGGATTCAAAGCTTAAATAGGGAATAAAAAATACATATTTATTTTCAGTAAACTTTAAACTGAAATTTAGTGTTTATTTTAATTATGCTTGTAGGCGATACACCACAATAATATGAAGAGAACCTTTGACTTTGTCGTCAATAAAAATCACAAATATTGGCCAGGTGCGGTGGCTCACACCTGTAATCCCAGCACTTTGGGAGGCCGAGGCGGGCGGATCGCCTGAGGTTGGGAGTTCAAGACCAGCCTGACCAACATGGAGAAACCCTGTTTCTACTAAAAATACAAAATTAGCTGGACGTGGTGGCACATTCCTGTAATCCCAGCTACTCAAGAGGCTGAGGCAGGAGAATCGCTTGAACCCAGGAGGCGGAGGTTGAGGTGAGCCGAGATCTTGCCATTGCACTCCAGCCTGGGCAACAAGAGCGAAACTCCATCTCAAAAAAAAAAAAGAAAAAGAAAAATCACAAATATTTTCACGTCACATTAGAAAAGTCACAGAAATCTCAAACTATCACTTATGTTCATTACTATTTTGAAATTACACTAATTAATAGGGTCACCCTAACTCTTGTTAATTTAATATTTTGATAACTGTATTTTGGTATAAATGTTTTATTTGGTGTATTTAAAACATTCTTCTGGCTAGGTGTGGTGGCTCTCCCCTGTAATCCCACCACTTTGGGAGGCCAAGGCAGGAAGATTGCTTGAGCCCAGGAGTTCTCGAGGCCAGACTGGGCAACATAATGTGAGACCCTGCCTCTACGAAAAAAAATTAAAAATTACCTGGGCATGGTGACACAAGCCTGTGGTCTCAGCTATTCAAGAGGCTGAGTCAGGAGGATCACTTGAGCCTGGGAGGTGGAGGCTGCAATGAGCCATGATCGTGCCACTGCAACCAATCCTGGGTGACAGAGTGAGACACTGTCTCAAAAAAAAAAAAAAATTCTGAGATGGGTCTATCAACTTCATCAGCTTGCGGAAGGTGCATGACACACAACAAAAGGTTAAGAGCCCTCTTCTAGAGCTTTTAAGAAGGTAGTTTACAGCGGGCATGGTGGCTCACACCTGTAATCCCAGCATTTTGGGAGGCCAAGGTGGGTGGATCACTTGAGGTCAGGAGTTCGAGACCGGCTTGGCCAACATGGTGAAACCCTCTCTCTACTGATAATACAAAAATTAGCCAGACATGGTGGTGCAGCCTGTAATCCCAGCTACTTGGAAGGCTGAGGGAGGAGAATTGCATGAACCTGGGAGTTGGAGGGTGCAGTGAGCCGAGATTGCACCATTGCACTCCAGCCTGGGTAACAAGAGCAAAACTCCATCTCAAAAAAAAAATAAATAAATAAATAAAAGAAAAAAGAAAAAGAAGGTAGCTTACACAGGATTCAGTAACTGAACAGATGTGCAGACCTGGAGATGTGGAGTAGGTTGAGCAATGAGGGAGGGGGACCTTCACTTCTGTGGCTCCCATCTATTTCCCATTCTAGGTCTGCTCCTCAGCATCCAAAAGCCCCACTCTAATCTCCATGTGCCATGCTGCAGCTGAAGCCCTTTTCATCTTGATCTCTGCTTTAAGGGAGCTAAGTAAGGATAATGACATCAAAGGTAGGGATACATCACAGCTAATAACATTAAACTGGTCCAGGAGGGTTGCTTAGGTATAATTACAATCCTTCAAGCTGTAGACTAAGGCTCCTGTCTATCATTGTGTTCCCTAGGGGAAAATGCAGCTACCTTTACTTTCAAGTTCTTAATGGAAGTTACCTGTAGCAATGTGATTTAGCGAGTATGTACTTAAGGGTTTTTTTCTCCCAACCCCCCACATTTTTCCTTTCACAAATAATTAGAAAAGAGAGAAAAGCAGACATTATCAGCCTCCGGATGTAAAGCAACAAGAAGTATAGAGTATCACTGATGAACTATATTTGCCAAAGTAAATCAAACACAAATGTCATTGCACCTCCACATCTATCAGTTTACAGAAAAACACAGGGCATGGAGGACCGTATTACATAGCAACATGGGAATGTCGTCAACAAAATTCAGACCCTGGGAAACCCTAAGGGCAAAGGTCAACAGGTGGGTCTCATTTGAATCTCGCTAAAAGAAACCAACTGTAAGAGTATATTTATGAAACAATCAGGAAAATTTGAACACAAACTGGGTATTTGATGATATTAAGAAATTTTTGTTGAGTTTGTAAGATGTGATAATAGTATTGTGGTTATTTATTTATTTATATTATTGTGTGTGGGGAGGGGGGGCTTTTTTTTTTTTTTTTTTGAGTCTCACTCTGTTGCCCCAGGCTGGAGTGCAGTGGCATGATCTCAGCTCACTGCAAGCTCCGCCTCCCGGGTTCACTCCATTCTCCTGCCTCAGCTCCCAAGTAGCTGGGACTACAGGCGCCTGCCACCACGCCAGGCTAATTTTGTTTTTGTATTTGTAGTAGAAATGGGGTTTCACCATGTTAGCTAGGATGGTCTCAATCTCTTGACCTCATGATTCGCCCTCCTTGGGCTCCCAAAGTACTGGGATTACAGGTGTGAGCCACCGCGCCCGGCCTATTTATTTTTTAAAAAGTGTTCTTCGCTGGGTGCAGTGGCTCGCGCCTGTAATTCTAGCACTTTGGGAGGCCGAGGTGGGAGGATTGCTTGAGCCTAGGAGTTTGAGACCAGCCTGATCAACATGGTAAAACCCAGTCTCTACAAAAAATACAAAACATTAGCAGTGTGTGGTGGTGTGTGCCTGTGGTCCCAGCTACTATGTAGGCTGAGGTGGGAGGATGGCTTCTGCCCGGGAGGCAGAGGCTGCAGTGAGCAGAGATATGCCACTACACTCCAGCCTGGGTGACAGAGACAGATCCTGTCTCAAAATAAATAAAAAGAAAAAAAAGAAATGATCATGCTGCCTAGGATTTACCTCAGTAATTGAGTAGGGGAGGGTGGTAATGAGTGGGGAGCCGGTGAGGTGGGTGGTCCCTGGATTGACAAGTGCTGCAGCAAGGTGGTAGGCACTTGGAGGCTCATTATAATATTATCTCTGGTTTGTATGTGGTTTTTTTTTTTTTGAGACAGAGTTTTGCTCTTGTTGCCCAGGCTGGAGTGCAATGGCGCGATCTTGGCTCACCGCAACCTCTGCCTCCCGGTTCAAGCGATTCTCCTGCCTCAGTCTCTCAAGTAGCTGGGATTACTGGCATGTGCCACCACGCCTAGCTAATTTTGTATTTTTTAGTAGAGACGGGGTTTCTCCATGTTGATCAGGCTGGTCTCGAACTCCTGACCTCGGGTGATCTGCCCGCTTCGGCCTCCCAAAGTGCTGGGATTACAGGCGTGAGCTGCCGCGCCTGGCATTTGTTTTTATGTTTCATAATGAAGAATTTAAAGAAAGGATTAGAGACAACTAGTAATAAAATCACAAAAATGACAAGAAAAAAATAAGTAAACAAGAGAAATTAGAAACTCTTCAGAGAAAGAGCAGAGGTAGTTACACCTGAGACTTGCAATAATACCATTACTTCATCTCATTCCTAAATTTGTCTCAACTTCCTGGCTCCAAAGCCTAGACAAAGCGTCCCTTATTTACTTGTAAAACAGTTTCTTAGGCATGCAGACGAAGAGGTGGGAACAGGAGGTTGGAATGTGGATAGCAACCCAAAAGAGAACTTTCTCCCCTGAGGCAAAGTCTTTAGCTGCTTTTCTTTTTGTCTTCCTTGTTTTTTTTTTTTTTTTTTTTTTGAGATGGAGTTCCACTTTTCTTGCCCAGACTGGAGTGTAATGGCACGATCTTGGCTCACTGCAACCTCCGCCTCCGGGGTTCAAGCGATTCTCCTGCCTCAGCCTCCCAGCTGGGATTACAGGAATGCGCCACCACGCCAGGCTAATTTTGTGTTTTTAGTAGAGACAGGGTTTCTCCATGTTGGTCAGGCTAGTCTCGAACTCCCGACCTCAGGTGATCCACCCGCCTCGGCCTCCCAAAGTTTTGGGATTATAGGTGTGAGCCACCGCAACCGGCTTGTCTTCCTTTTTTGGTGTGGTGAAACTGAGGGAGTTTGTTGGGAGAGGCAGTTACTGAGCTAGGAAGTTGTTGAGCAGGAAGGAGAAAAATCTGCAAACTGGAGAGGGTCTCACTATCAAACTTTTCGGCAAGTAGAATTTCCCCAATAAAAACAGCTGTATGAAGAACATTCTGAGACACATAAAGCTATTTCCATATCCCTGCAGGCAGTCTCTAGAAATAGTGCTTTGTTGTTCCACATACAATGCCATCTTCTGGTCCCAGCACTGCAATGGTCACTCCCACCTCCAAGATACAATAGTGATCAATTGTCTGATGTTTGCACTGCAGGTGGGGAGGAGGAAAAGGCAGAGGATCTGACCCCCAGGCTCTCAAAGCAGTTTAGTTCCTCAATTAAATAGCAAGTAACTTTCAAAGCTCCCCCTCCATCCGCTTCACCTTGTCCACATCTTAATCATCCTGCGATAGAGCAAAAAATATTCTCCAAAATCACCCATCATGCAAAACATGTTGAAAATGAAATTCTGAGGCCGGGCACCATGGCTCATGCCTGTAATCCCAGCACTTTGGGAGGCTGAGGCGAGTGGATCACCTGAGGTCAGGAGTTTGAGACCAACCTTGACAACCTGGTGAAACCCTGTCTCTACTAAAAATACAAAAATTAGCTGGGTGTGGTGGTGGGCACCTGTAATCCCAGCTACTCGGGAGGCTGAGGCAGGAGAATCACTTGAACCCAGGAGGCGGAGGGCGCCATTGCACTCCAGCCTGGGTGACAGAGCGAGACTCTGTGTCAAAAAAAAAAAGAAAAGAAAGAAAGGAAAAAAAAAAGAAATTCTGCAATTCTGCAGAATGAAATAGTGGAGGTACAGCCAAAAGGTGACATCTCCTTTCTATAATTATATTTAGACATTTGATTTACTTGCTTATTCACTAGGACCAAGCACAGGTGTGTGTGTGTGTGTGTGTGTGTGCGCTCACAAATACAGGGGTTTTTTTTTTTTTTTGAGACGGAGTCTCGCTGTGTCCCCCATGCTGGAGTGCAGTGGAAGGATTTTGGCTCACTGCAACCTCCGCTTCTGGGTTCACGCCATTCTCCTGCCTCAGCCTCCCGAGTAGCTGGGACTACAGGCGCCTGCTACCATGCCTGGCTAATTTTTTTTTTTTTTTTGTATTTTTAGTAGAGACGGGGTTTCACCGTTTTAGCCAGGATGGTCTCGATCTCCTGACCTTGTGATCTGCCCACCTCGGCCTCCCACAGTGCTGGGATTACAGGCGTGAGCCACGGCGCTGGGCCCAAGGGTTTTTTTGTTTTTGTTTTTGTTTTTTTTAGAGACGGGTAGGGAGTGGGGGTGAAGGTCTTTGCTCTGTCACCCGGGTTGGAGTGCAGTGGTGCAATCATAGCTCACTGTAACTGCAAACCCCTGGGCTCAAGCCAGCCTCCCGTCTCAGCCTCCTGAGTAGCTGCGAGGCAAACCACCATGCCCTAGGGTTTTGTTTTTGTTTTTGTATCCTACAGCAGCTTGCTCTTATCACTCAATAATACCTTATAGAAGGCCTCCAAACCATCTGGCCTAGTGCTAAAATAATCTTTTTAATGCCTGCATAATATTCACAGTATGGCTACCATTGTTCATTCTGTCACTTACCTACTCAAAGGCATTGATTTTGATCCCAATTTCCTTGCTACTCTGAATAATGATGCAACAGACATCCCTAAGCATGAGTTTCTGTTTATTGATGTGTACATTTTTATGGAAATCATTCCCAGGACTGAGATGTTTGGGTTGAGGGATCTCATCTCAGTTGAGAGAATAATTGTTCTTGGCCACCCAACAGTTAATACCTAATATTATATGGCACTACTCACCTTCTACTTTCAATTCCATTGCTGCCTCCTCTTGGTAAGAATGATCTCGGAAGAAGCAGGTGAAACCTCCTTCATCTGAGAACCTTACATTCCGGATCCTGAGAGTCACCTTTCCCTCACCAATAGCATCTTTCAGCAGCTCTGTCCGGCCCCGATATTCAGGTGCCTGGTCTCCATCTTGGTCCTTGCCATTTCTGTAGAGATGAACCACCCTAGAGAAGGGGGGGCGGTACCACCCCACCTCCATGCCTGTAGCGTTCTTCCCAGGAGATATGCGACATGGCAATTCCACTTCATCCCCGACCAGAGCCCGGATAGGGTGTCTTGGTCCTATCACTCTGAACTGCCCTGTCCAAGACACCAAAAGGAAGAGATTTAAGGTCAGAGGGAACCTTGGCAAGCAAGCCTGTCATGAGAAGGGCTGCTTCAAAACAGGGAAGGAAGAAGACACTCGACTTTTAAATGACATTCTAGAGCCAGGGAGGATTGCAATTGTTCTTCTTCTTCTTCTTCCTTTTTATTTATTCATTTATTTTTTGAGACAGTCTTACTCTCTGTCGCCCAGGCTGGAGTGCAGTGGTGCAATCTTGGCTCACTGCAACCTCCGCCTCCCTGCAACCTCCGCCTCCCAGGTTCAAGTGATTCTCCTGCCTCAGCCTCCCGAGTAGCTGGCATTACAGGCACCTACCGCCGCATCCAGCTAATTTTTGTATTTTTAGTAAAGATGAGGTTTCACACTGTTGGCCAGGCTGGTCTCGAACTCCTGACCTCAGGTGATCCGCCTGCCTTGGCCCCAAAGCGCTGGGATTATGGGCATAAACCACCACACCCGGCCTCAAGTTTCCTTCTTGAGAACAACAACGACAAAAAAGACTCTGGTTATAGAGATACTGTGAATGTCCTGGACAGAACATTTTAGCAATCATCTCCTCTCAGCATCTGCCCATCTTTTTGCCAGCTGTAGCCATCTCTGACTCTTCAGCCCAGCCTTTAGGTTCCCTCTTGGAATGTGGCACAGCATCTTGAGGTTGAATCCTCCTATGGGCCTCCCTGTTAGGACTTGGCCAAATTGCTGCCTATTCTACCCTTAGAGGTTTTGCTTTTGTCACTCCATCTACTTTAACTGTCTCTCCATCACTTCTCACTATTCAGTCCTTGTTCATACCTTGTTTCCCAAATTCTCTTCTGAGATCTTCCACCCTGGGGATGGCTCTATTTCCCTCTTCCTTCCCCTGTATCTTCCACCTCACTGTGGCTCCCGGACCCTGACCCGAAAAAGTTCCTTGTTTTTTTCTATGTGGATGTGTTTCTCAAGTCAGATTCTGAGCTACTAAGAAATAAGGCTGCTTTCTCCCCTAGACCTGGAGAGTGGATGCACTGTGCCTCTGTCAGTCAGGTGGCTCCCTGAGGATGGGAAACTTTCTGTTTATTTCTCCTCTGCACGTGACAGCCGGGTTCCTTTATAAAAACCTACTGGTGCCTGATTATGCAGAGCAAAGTCTCAAACATGACAAGATATTATAATTCCACAAACATTTATTGAGATTTACTATGGACAGGCACTGCTAAGCATGTTACATATCTCATTTCATGTAATCCTGATGAGAACTCCAAGAGGTTGTTATTATTTTATCTCAATTTGAGAGGTGAAAAGACAAAGCTGGAAAGACAAGTAAGAAGTAGTTCAAGGAAAGCCTTGAGTTAGTCACATTAAGGAGTCTGGGTCAGACGCAATGGCTCATGCCTGTAATCTCAGCACTTTGGGAGGCTGAGGAGGGCAGACCACTTGAGGTCAGGGGTTCCAGACCAGCCTGGCCAACATGGTGAAACCCCATCTCTACTAAAAATAAAAAAATTAGGCCTAGTGCAGTGGCTCACGCCCATAATCCCAGTACTTTGGGAAGCCGAGGCGGGCGGATCAGCAGGTCAAGAGATCGAGACCATCCTGGCCAACATGTGAAACCCCGTCTGTACTAAAATACAAAAAAAAAAAAAAAAAAAAGAAAAGAAAAAATTTAGCTGGGTGTGGTGGCAGGCGCCTGTAGTCTCCGCTACTTGGGAGGCCAAGTCAGGAGAATCGCTTGAACCAGGGAGGCTGAGGTTGCAGTGAGCCGAGATCATGCCACTGCACTCCAGCCTGAGCAACAGAGGGAGACTCTGTCTCAAAAAAAAAAAAGAGTCTGGACTCCATCTTGAAGGCTGTAAGAACCACCCACGGAAGGTTTCTGAGGAAGGGAGGCATGTCAGTAGGTCTATGTTTTAGAAAGATAATATAGCAACTTGAGGATGTTTGAAGGAGCTAAGCCCCAGGAAACTAGCCTTTCTGTTTTCAGGGTCTCCCCAGGGCAGGAAAAAAAACATGTCTTACCTGCATAGCTGGAAGACACTTGGAGGAGGAGGAGGAGGAGGAAGGAGCAGAGGCAGCTGGGCAGAGAGGGTCTCGATAAGCTTGCCATCTCTACTGTTCCTGGGGACAGAGAGCCCCCGCAGCAAGGTCAGGCCAAGTGGAGGCCCTTGGGGTGCATGTCCCCTTACTGCTGAAAAGCCCAAGGGAAGATCTTGGAGGGCAGTGCTGCCTGGGCCCTGCCTCCACTCCGGTAATTGCTGCAGCTGTGCCCGCAGAAACAGCCCCACGTCACCCTTGCCAGGCACTCACACAAAAGGGCTACAGACTGAGGGGATGACCAGGGTTTGCCTTCCCCACCCCCCCAGAGCAATGGAGCAGAGGCTGCCTGGTACAGGGCTTTCCTCCCCCACTCCCTCCTGGAGATCCAACCTTTGAAGGGTCTTCTAGGGGCTAATCAGTGGGGCAGGATCACTTACAGGACCTTAGGAAGAGGCTTGTTCATGGAATATGTAAGCTTCCTCCAATCCACCCCAGCCCTACTGACTAGTCAAAAGAGAGAAATTATTATTGGTTCTTAAAAAAAGAAAGAAAACTTAGATTTCTTTTTCCTGTTTCTATTATCTCACAACTGTCATCACCAGACCATTCTTCTTAATGTCTAACCTCCCTTTCTTCTACCGCGAATCCAAACTCTGCCCTGTATGTTTGTATATGTGATAGGTCACTTGGGATTTGTTAGTTTCTTGTTCCCAAAGAATGTTTTTAGGGAAGTCATGAGATGAATGTCAGGTGTGCTCAGAGAGGCAAGGTTGGAGGAAGGGAGACCAGCAAGGGCAGCAACTAACTATGTCAGTCAACACAGGCAGAAGGGACAGAGCCAGCATACAGGACACGCTCTCCAGCCTTCACATCACTTGCCAGTTTCCTCAGTGTCACAGGGGAGAGTGAGATCTGGAATGGAAAATGACCTTTCTCTCACCTCTTGGCTCAGCTGAGAATTGCAAGTGTGAGACCAGCATTGGTAGCAGGTTCCAAAAATAGACTTCCCAATCTTAAGGCAAGTATGCCTCACCAAATAAGGAAAAAAGGCTCAATTTAGAGCCGTGCTGTCCAATGCAGCAGTCACTCCCTGCATGTGGCCACTTAAAATTAATTACAATTAAATAAAATTAAAAATTTGGTTCATTGATTACACTAGCCATGTTTCAAATGCTCAATAGCACTACAGTTAGTGGTTATCTCATCAGACAACACAAATACAGAACATTTCCATCGTCACAAAAAATTATATTGGGCAACACAAAAATTTATATTGGGCAGCAAGGGGTAGAAACACAACTGAGACATACATTTCTGCTTTTGTCCGAGATGGGCGTAAGGAGCTAGAAGGACATTAAGGTCAGCTGAGTTTGGGAACTGCTTATTCTTTCACCCTTCAAGGCAGCCAGCGTTTGGACACAAGCAATGTTTGGCTACTCTGGTGCTGTGTGGTTGAAAGTCAAGATTGCAGGGGTCAATCCCATGGAAAAAGTGGCCGCTGTGGATCTCTGGCTTTTTACCAAAGGGGTTTTTTTTTCTTCAAAAACCTAAAATGTCCTGGGACGCTCTTTCTCCCTGTTGCATATTCAGGTAGGAGAGTTATGCACAAGATGCTTCTGGGCAGGATTTGGGGGTGGTAAGATGTGTGCAATTGTCCAGCACCAAGCAAGCTGTCAAAAGCTGGATGGGAGATCAGGATGAGGGTGGAGGCATGTGGGAGCAGAGAGGGTCAGGAGCCTGCCGAGCCATCACAGCCACTTTGGAGAAATCACAGCATCTCTGAAAACAACAATAAAAAAAACTAACCACCTTACTGAGATATTCTATGTGCTGTGGTTCTAAGTGGTTTACTTGCATTAACACCTTTAATCCTCACAACAACAAAACAAATATTAAACTATTATCACCCATATCTTACAGGTGAGAAAAGGGAGGTACAAAAGAGGTAAAGGAACTTGCTAAAGTCACACCACTAGGGAGTGGCAGAGCTGGGATTTCAAGCCAGGCTTTCTAGTCCTAGAACTGGCTCTTTTAACCACCACAATACAAGGCCTCTGATGAGCTCAGCTTATTTACTTTCATGCCCTCAACTGCCTCAAATTTCCTGAAAGGGGAGGATTCCTGGAGCTGTGAGAGCAGTCCCTTGGCTGACATGGTCTTTGGGCAAAGGTGATATATACAAGGGAAGGCCAGAGGGGCCACCAGCAAAATGAAGCCAGTGGTGTTGCCACTTGCAGAAATCTGGGGTATAGGGGCTGGGCCCGCTCACGCCTGTAATCCCAGCACTTTGGGAGGCCGAAGCGGGCAGATTACCTGAGGTTGGGAGTTCAAGACCAGCCTGACCAACATGGAGAAACCCTGCCTCTACTAAAAATACAAAAATTAGCTGGGCATGGTGGCGTGCGCCTGTAATCCCAGCTACTCGGGAGGCTGAGGCAGGGTAATCCCTTGAACCCAGGAGGCGGAGATTGCGGTGAGCCAAGATCCCGCCATTGCACTCCAGCCTGGGCAAGAAGAGCAAAACTCCGTCTCAAAATAAAATAAAGAAATCTGGGGTATGGGAACATCAGGTATTGCCAGGAATAGAGCTCAGTGTAGATGTGTCCAAGAAGTGAAACCACCCTGTATCACCCTGGGAGCTGCTCATTTCTTTCAGCATTTAAATATTATTTTAATTGATTTTGTATAGCATATGTTATGAGATCCTGCAAGTATTCCTGAGTTCTTGAGTTGCCTCTTTTTTTCTTTCTTTCTCGTTTTTGAGACAGGGTCTCTCTCTGTCACAGGCTGGAGAGCAGTGGCGTGATCAGGGCTCACTGCAGCCTTTACCTCTCAAGTTTAAGTGAACCTTATGCCTCAACTTCCTGAGTAGCTGAAACTACAGGTATGTGCCAGCATGCCTGGCTAAATGAAAGCTTCTTTTCTTTTCTTTCCCTTGGTCTCAAACTCCTGGACTCAAGTGATCCTCCTGCCTCAGCCTTCTGAAATGTTGGAATTACAGGCTGAGCCACTACACCCAGCTCAATTTTCTTCCAGTGTTGCTGTCCTCAGTAATTTCAGCTTAATCTGCATCTCTCACCATGTCCAATGACAGACCATGTACACAGTAATATATTCAGAGTGACACATTGAATACAGTAAATGTGTGTGGTAATTTTTTAACATGCTCTATGCTGTCCATATGTGAAATAGTAAGCATTCAATAAATGGTAGCTTTCCTACATAAATACCCAGCAACAGTACTGTATAAGCTTTTACAGATAATCTGTAAAATATGTATCTTTACATTATTTATGTTATCAGAAGTGATAATAGACACCCTGTTTTGATTCTTGTTGTCTACTTAATTCATAATTCCACATTAATACATAATATGGCTTTTTTGTACTTTTGAAAATTGATTGTTAGCTGGACGTGGTGACATGCACCTGTTGAGCCCAAGAGAGAGAGGCTGCAGTGAGCACTGATCGTGCTGCTGCACTCCAACCTGTGCGACAGAGTGAGACCCTATCTCAAAAAAATTTTTTAAATAAAAATTGATTCTTATAAAGTAACATGCTTTGAAAATAAATCTCAGCCAGCTAAAGCCGATCTGTATTTTCTCTAAATCCTTCCGTTTGTATATATATACCACTAGAGGGCGCTCCACGAAAGTCACTGCCTGTGAGTACTGCAAGTAGCGCTCACACATCCCTCCCTCTCCCTTCTCCCACCTGTTTTACATAAATGGTAACAATTTATCTTGAAGCTCTTTCCTTATCAGTACCTAAAGAACATCCTTGTTATTTTTAAACAGCTTACAATATTTTATTGGATGAATATAATATAGTTATTTAAGTAGCATCCCAAGACATTTAGACTGTTTCAGTTTTTTAAATACCTATTTTTACTAGGATGAAGCAAAAATGTACTCAATTAATTTAAATCAATACATATTTAAAAGCAAGTGCTATGTGTCATACTTTATATTAGGCCCTGATTATAAAACTTTCAGCAAGGCAGACAAGATTCTTGCCTTTATGAGTTATATTCTAGTTGTATTGCAGTTATATTACAGTTATATGTTACCTAAAGGCACAAATTGATCAATGTCAGGCCATCATTTTCAACCTTTTTGCTCTTACATATAATTTGGCAATGAATATCAGTCTACTAAGGCCAGCTACATATTTTGAGGGGCAAAATGAAACTATGGAGCTCCTTGTTTAATAGCAGGAAAAGACCAGGTGCAGTGGCTCACGCCTGTAATCCCATCACTTTGGGAGGACCAGGTTGGAGGATCGCTCGGGCCCAGGGTCTCGAGTCCAGCCTTTACAACATAGTGAGACCCCATCTCTAGTTAAATAAATCTATTAAAAAATAATAAAATAGAAAATAAAAAGCAGAAAAAAAACCCAACCTTTTCCTTTTTTCTGTGGTTCCACTGTCAACCTATTATGTGGGGTTTTTTTCTTTTCTTTTTTTTTTTTTTTTTTGAGACGGAGTCTCGCTCTGTCGCCCAGGCTGGAGTGCAGTGGCGCAATCTCGGTTCACTGCAACCTCCGCCTCCCGGGTTCAAGCCATTCTCCTGTCTCAGCCTCCCAAGTAGCTGGGACTACAGGCGCTCGCCACCATGCCCAGATAATTTTTTTGTATTTTTAGTGGAGACGGGGTTTCACCGTGTTAGCCAGGATGGTCTCGATCGCCTGACCTCGTGATCCGCCTGCCTTGGCCTCCCATAATGGTGGGATTACAGGCGTGAGCCACCGCGCCCGGCCTTTTTTTTTTTAATTTAATGTCACACTCCAGGCACAGGAGTACCTAGGGGGAAGTGCAGATCTTCACAAGTGCCTAGGGCCATGCCTTCCATTTGGCAAGGGAGGTGTGTATGCCTGACCGCTCCCCTCCTTTCCACTGTTCCCAGGCCCCTGCTGGGAGCGAGCCTGCACAGAAGGTGGTGGAGCCGGCAGCTGAAAACCAGTCCTGGGGAGGCTGGGAGGCATGGGGAGCAGGACCTCGCTTGAGCCAGGCTCCAAAAGTCTCTAGCCCATGTTCTGCTTTCTCATCGGACTTCATTATAAGACACAAATTGAAAGATAAAATTATTAAGAATTTCAAGACAGGAACCACAGAGCTTTAGAACCCAAACACAGTATCCCTTCTAAGCATGGGGCCCTTGTGTGACTGCCCTGGTCACTCACCCATGAAGTTTACTCTGCTTTCTACACTGGTAGAATAGTTTGTTCAGAGAGCATGTTTTTTGGTAATTTCAATAAATATTGATAAATTGCCCTGCACAAAGTTGTATACTTCACTGTACCCTGGCTTTCTCCTTAGTGAGTGAGGGAATAATATCATCCACTTCATCAGGGTTATCATGAGAATGACATGAATGAGTCCCTGTGAACTGTGAATGGTACACAGTAACCACTCAGTAAATACAGTCATTAGCCCTTACATGCAGTGATTTTCTTCTGGAACTCCCTCTAGTGGCATAAATATAAAGAGGAATTCACGTTTTCTTTTCTACTTTTGTGGCCCTATTTCCCATAATATTTGTGTGTTTAAATTGGTCTAGATATTCCACTGAGGCTCAATGACCGATAGACTATAAAATGTCTAATTTACATCAATTTAGCCAGATGCTTCCTAGGTAGGTCGGAGAAATGAGAACACTGATCCGAATCAATGTGAGGCAGCTCCCAGCAAGTGAGCGCCTGTAGCATGTGTGAGCATGGGTGCTGTGGTGAATGCAGCCAGGGGCTGCTCTTTCATACTGCTTTATTTCTTTTTCTTTTCTTTCTTTTTTTTTTTTTGAGACGGAGTTTCGCTCTTGTTGCCCAGGCTGGAGTGCAATGGCACGATCTTGGCTCACTGCAACCTCCACCTCCCGGGTTCAAGGGATTCTCCTGCCTCACCCTCCTTTGTAGCTGGGACTACAGGCACCCGCCACCACGCCCGGCTAATTTTTTGTATTTTAGTAGAGACGAGGTTTCACCATATTGGTCAGGATGGGCTCGATTTCCTGACCTCGTGATCCACCCGCCTCGTCCTCCCAAAGTGCTGGGATTGCAGGCATGAGCCACCGCGCCCGGCCATACTGGTTTATTTCTTTTTCTTTTTTTTTTTTTTTTTGAGACAGAGTCTTGCTCTGTCGCCCAGTCTGGAGTGCAGTGACACGATCTCGGCTCACTGCAAGCTCCGCCTCCCGGGTTCACGCCATTCTCCTGCCTCAGCCTCCTGAGTAGCTGGGATTACAGGGGTGCGTCACCATGCCTGGCTAATTTTTTGTATTTTTTTAGTAGAGACGGGGTTTCACCGTATTAGCCAGGATGGTCTCGATCTCCTGACCTCGTGATCCGCCCGCCTCGGCCTCCCAAAGTTCTGGGATTACAGGCGTGAGCCACCGCGCCTGGCCTACTGGTTTATTTCTTTAAGTAACACATACAGTGTAGAAAAATTAGAAACGATATGGAAAAATGTAGAGAACAAAAAACTAATTATGTTCTACCAAAGGTTTAAATTTTATCTATCAACATTTTTTCCATTTTTATGTATTCCCTATTGTTAGTCTGAGATTCACCAATATTTTTATCTTTCAAAAGGAAAAACATTCAGCTTCTTGTGAGTCAAGTGAGTCAGGCACTGAGGCTTGCCCCTCCCCCTCCCCCCTCCCCAAATGGGAATGGGTTTGCGCTGATTTTAATCAAACTGCTATGGGTTGTCCTGCGTAAGAGGCTTTGGGCTGTTCTGTAGGTCCCCGTGGGGTAGAACAGTTGGGTGCAAGACTCTGAAGGCAGATTTCAGCTCAAAAGAAAGAATTTTCCCTCCTTCAGAGCTGTCCAACCGTGGTGGGAATGAGTGGGAACTACGGGAGTGAGCTTCCCATTCCTGGATTTTCCAGCCAACATAGAACTGGAGGTTAGGCCACATTATCCTAATATTTTTGCCTAGCTGTAGGATGATACAAGAATATACATTTTCCTTCCCCATCTTCTCCCGCTTTTCCTCGCCTTCTTTCCATTTCTTTGGCCCCTTCGCTTTTCGCCACCTAGCGGCAGAATCTTGCTAGGTAAGGACCAGGAAGCTCTCCCAATCTGACCCGCAACAGCTGACGTCACGACTTCGCCACCGAGAATTGGTTGCCAGCAGCCTTTGGGGGCGGAGAATAAGGCGCAGA
This sequence comes from Homo sapiens, assembly GCF_000001405.40. Lineage (NCBI taxonomy): Eukaryota > Metazoa > Chordata > Mammalia > Primates > Hominidae > Homo > Homo sapiens. Next base: position 915,665 of record NT_167245.2, on the reverse strand, counting down.
TTATAAATAGGTCAAAGAGAGGTGCCTGCGAGCCGCGCAGTGACACCCCGTTCCTAAGGGCAGAGCTTTTCTTGCCTTTCGCTTCAGACCCACTGCACTTGGTTACGTGCTTTTCCTCCGCTGTCCGCTTCGTTTATCTGCTTTAACCCAACCTGGGCTAGGTAGGCCTGAAGCCTATAATGTTGCTTGGCTGTTGCTCAGGAGAAGAAAGGCCCAGGTGGCCAGTTTGGCAACTGGCACAGTCCCTGTGAGCACCCACCTGCTGATGGTCCTTCTGTCACTACGTAGTCGCTCCGACGCCAGGAAAGTGCGGTGGTGGCCATTTTGGAACTGGGCAACTTTCACTTCGCCAATCATCTTGGGGTCTGGCCACCACAGTACTTTTTTTTCATTATTATTCTGGCAGAGAACACGTTATGGAGGGATAATTATGTAGCCTAGAATTTCTAGAGTTGTTTCAGGACTCATAATATCCTCATTCCAGAATATGAGAATATAGAAGCTTGGAATACTCAGATGCAAATTCCAGCACCACCCTTTCCTAATTGATTGAGGAACACATCTGACTCTAGTCTACGGTCCTGTGGAAAGACCTGTGACCCTAGGCAAAGAGCTTAAAGAAATCTCTCTTTTTTTTTTTTTTTTTTTTGAGACGGAGTTTTGCTCTTGTTGCCCAGGCTGGAGTGCAGTGGCGCGATCTCGGCTCACCGCAACCTCCACCTCCTGGATTCAAGTGATTCTCCTGCCTCAGCCTTCCGAGTAGCTGGGATTACAGGCTATGCGCCACTATGCCCGGCTAATTTTGTATTTTTAGTAGAGATGGGGTTTCTCCATGTTGGTCAGGCTGGTCTCGAACTCCGACTTCAGGTGATCCACCCGCCTCAGCCTCCCAAAGTGCTGGGATTACAGGCGTGAGCCACTGCACCTGGCCATGAAGAAATATCAATTTATTTAACTGCAAAATGATAATTCTGTCACCTCGTGGTGCTGATGTGAGGATTAAATGAGACAAGGTACATAAAGTGCTTAGGCCTGTGTCTGGCTCCCCCAAAAAACATAACACCTCTTGTGCAGCACCTGTGCTTAGAATGTTAGCCAGTGAGGGCAGGACTTCGTCTTATTTTCCCTGTGCCCTCCTGGGCATTGAATAGTGAGGGATACATATTAGAATAAGTTTGCTGAAAGAATGAATGACAAAGAATCCCTGCCTGTAGGTCTTCAGCCTTTGTATTCTATTATCTTTTAGGCTGTAGGCTCACCCTCAGGCATCTTCTTGCCACTCTAACCCCTATAGGCTGATAATTACACCTTTACTTGCTCTAGGTCACAGCAATCTGTTAACTACGAGATTAGTATTTTTATTAGTATTTTTGACTTTTTTTTTTTTTTGAGACATGGTTTCACTCTTAGAGTGCAGTGGCGTGATCTCAGCTCACTGCAACCTCCGCCTCCCAGGTTCAAGCGATTCTCCTGCCTCAGCCTCCTGAGTAGCTGGGATTTCAGGCGCCCGCCACCACCCTCGGCTAATTTTTGTATTTTTTTTTAAGTAGACGGGGTTTCGTCGTGTTAGCCAGGATGATCTCGATCTCCTGACCTCGTGATCCGCTCGCCTCGGCCTCCCAAAGTGCGGGGATTACAGGCGTGAGCCACCGCGCCCGGCCTAATTTTTGTATTTTTAGTAGAGACAGGGTTTCACTGTGTTGGCCAGGCTTGTCTCCAACTCCTGACCTCGTGATCTGCCTGCCCGCCTAGGCCTCCCAAAGTGCTGGGATCACAAGCGTGAGCCACCGCGCCCGGCAGATAATTTACTTATTATTTCATACACCACCTGATATATTTTCACAGTGAGCATATGGCCTTTAAAATAATGATTTTTTTGTTGTTTAAGTTACAAACAAACCTGAAAAAATATTTGCTTTTTAGAAATGCTCAGTTTCTGAAGGGACCTAAGTTTGCCTTGTAACTGGTACCATCTAATGGTCAAACTGAGCTATTGCGCTGAGGTTGGATACAGGAAGCTAAGGGAAGACAGGGATGTGGGAAGTTCAACAGGGGTATGCTATGGAATAGGGTGATAGAACTTTGTGGATGACATACCAACATCACTTGCTGAAGTTGTGTAGAGCTTATTCTTACTGAAACAGTAATCCAGAAATTAACTCATATCTAATGACTTGGTGGTATAGCATACCAACACTTTTATGCCAGCCACTGGAGAAAAAGTGTGTTCCTATAGCATTTTCACATTCTGAAAACATTTGTCTATGATTGTATTTATTTCTCACAATAGTATGTGAGTTAAAGATATCAAATAGTTTTATTCTTATTTTACAGTTGATGAAATTGAGGCCAGACGGGTTGTGACAGGCTCAAGGTCAGTCAGAAAACCATTGTCAGAGCAAGACCAGACTGGCATTCTTTTTCAGGTGTTTCTGCTGCAATTGGGGGCAGAGATATGCAGGCTTAACTTTTATAAATATAAAAGATGCTTTATTGGGAAACGTGAAGTAGTGGTTCTCTGAGTTTTTTGTACCATTTCTTAGCCTTTTTGTTTTATGCAATTTTTTATTTGCCCCAACCTGAACTCTATGTTTGGAGAGGTGATTTTCAGCAACAAAGCTAAATTTATGTATAATTTATTTCTTTTTCTTTTATTAATCAAACGTGTTTTAACTTGTAACTTTTCTTCTAAAGTCAGCATCATGTGTATACATATGCAAATAATTCCACTCCAAGGTAAGGAAACTTTAAGGATATTTTAATTAGTGCTCACAACAAATATGTGTATCTGTTCTGATTTTTAAATAATAAAGATGGAGCATGACTTTCTTCTTCTCTTTCTGTATTCCAGTTTTAAAATCATTGGCTGGGTGCAGTGGCTCATGCCTGTAATCCCAGCACTCTTGGAGGCCAAGGCAGGCGGATCACTTGAGGAAAGGAATTTGAGATCAGCCTGGCCAACATGGCAAAACCCTGTTTCTATCAAAAATACAAAAAAGTAGCTGGGCATGGTGGCATGCACCTGTAGTCCCAGGTACTTGGGAGGCTGAGATGGAAGGACTGTTTGAGGCTGGTTGACACAGTGAGACTCCCATCTCAAAAAGAAAAAAAAATCACCATACCACATTGTAGGAGCTATGAAGGCTGACATCATGCTTAGCTCATGTGTGTGATCCCAAACTGCCCTATTCCATAAATATTTATTGACTAAATGAGAAAAAAATCTTACAACCAGGTAAGATTTCTTTTCTTTTCTTTTCTTTTTGAGACGGAGTCTTGCTCTCTTGCCCAGGCTGGAGTGCAGTGGCGCGATCTCTGCTCACTGCAAGCTCCGCCTCCCAGGTTCACGCCATTCTCCTGCCTCAGCCTCCCGAGTAGCTGGCACCCGCCACCATGCCCGGTTAATTTTTTCTTGTATATTTTGTAGAGACAGGGTTTCACCATGTTAGCCAGGATGGTCTTGATCTCCTGACCTCATGATCAGTCTGCCTCAGCCTCCCAAAGTGCTGGGATTACAGGCGTGAGCACCGCGCCCAGCCATAGCCAGATAAGTTTCTTTTGCACACCTGTACTACTTTTAATGGTAGTTATGGCAGGTCATATTAAATAACAATAATATTTTCTGGGCCAGGCATGGTGGCTCACCCCTGTAATCCCAGTACTTTAGGCAGGAGGGTCATTTGAGGTCCAGAGTTCAAAACCAGCCTGGCCAACATGGCGAAACCCTGTCTCTACTTCAAATACAAAAATTAGCCAGGCATGGTGGTGCATGCCTGAAATCCTAGCTACTGGGGAGGCTGAGGCAAAAGAATTGCTTGAACCCTGGAGGCAGATATTGCAGTGAGCTGAGATTGCACCGCTGCACTCCAACCTGGGTGATTTTATATATATATATATATATATATATATATATGTAAATATATATATTTAGTTTTCTTATGAGCCCCTTAAGAATAATATCAATACACAGGCAGAAAAAAAGCATTCCAAGATCTTTTTTTTCTTTTCTTTTTTATTTGAGATGGTGTCTCACTCTGTCACCCAGGCGGAGAGCAATGGCGCAAACTCAGCTTACTGCAACCTCTGCCTCTCCGGTTCAAGTGATTCTCCTGCCTCAGCCTCCTGAGTAGCTGGGATTACAGGTGTCCACCACCACACCTGGCTAATTTTAGTATTTTTAATAGAGACAGGGTTTCACTATGTTGGTCAGGCTGTTCTCGAACTCCTGACCTCGTGATCTGCCCACCTTAGCCTCCCAAAGTGCTGGGATTACAGGTGTGAGCCACCGCGCCTAGCCTTTTTTCTTTTCTTCTTCTTCTTCTTCTTCTTTTTTTTTTTTTGATAGAGATGGGGTTTTGCCATGTTAGCTTCAAACTCCTGGGCTCAAGCAATCTGCCTGCCTCAGCCTCCCAAAGTATTGGGATTACAGGTGTCAGCCACTGAACCAGGCCTAAAACTTTATTTTCTAAAGTTGAAATAACTTCAGGATATAATTTAGAGATATCATGACTCCTTGGGGTCCAGAGAAGAAAATCACTCAGGAGTTAAAATTAAGAGAAGGGTCAGGCACAGTTGTGAGTGCTGTAGTCCCAACTACTCAGGAGGCTGAGCAGGAAGAATTGGTTGAGGCCGGGAGTTCAAGAGCAGCCTGGGCAATAGAGTGAGACCTGTCTTTTAAAAAAGTAAAAATAGATCAGGCGCGGTGGCTCACACCTGTAATCCCAGCACTTTGGGAGGCCGAGGTGGGCGGATCATCTGAGGTCAGGAGCTCAAGACCAGCCTGGGCAACATGACAAAACCCCATCTCTATTAAAAATACAAAAAATTAGCCATGTGTGGTGGCACACGCCTGCATTCCCAGCTACTCAGAAGGCTGAGGCAGGAGAATCACTTGAACCCAGGTGGAAGTTGCAGTGAGCCGAGATCGCATCTGCATTCCCAGCTACTCAGAAGGCTGAGGCAGGAGACTCACTTGAATCCAGGAGGTGGAAGTTGCAGTGAGCCGAGATCGCACCATTGCACTCCAGCCTGGGCAACAAGAGTGAAACTCCACCAAAAAAAAAAAAAAAAAAGTAAAAATAAAATCACAAGGAATGGTTGGAGGAGCCCAGCCCATTCTATTTGTACCTCTATTTTGAGCCATTTCATCCTCTTCCCTGACCAGTTCATCCATCATCCCTCCTCCCCATTAACCACCAGCTTACCTTGTACTCTTCAGTCTTAGAACCCACATTACCTTCAATCTTCTTTGTAAAATGTTGGTAAGAAGTTAACAAATTCAGGCCGGGGGTGGTGGCTTATGCTTGTAATCCCAGCACTTTGGGAGGCCGAGGTGGGAGGATCACTTGAGGTCAGGAGTTCAAGACCAGCCTGGCCAACATGGTGAAACCCCATCTCTACTAAAATTACAAAAATTAGCTGGGCGTGGTGGTGCATGCCTATAATCCCAACTACTCAGGTGGCAGAGGCACAAGAATTGCTTAAGCCCAGGAGGTGGAGATTGCAGTGAGCCAAGCTTGCACCACTGCACTCCAGCCTGGGTGACAGAGCAAGACTGTTAAAAAAAAAAAAAAAGTTAACAAACTCAAATTCAAGAATGCTTTCTTAATACATTTCTCCTGTTATTTTCCATTTTTCCCATGGTGGAAAATAGAAAATAGGATGGCATCACTTGAGTTGGGCATAGGGAAAGAAATTTCAAACAGGGCATGAGTTCTAGGATTTAGAACAGCTAATGCAGGAGTAGAGTTAAAGAAGATACCCCACCTAGCCTAGCCTGCTAGCTGCTTGACAGTAACCAGGGATAACAGGGGAACAGTTAAGGTTCTTCAGATCATGGTCTCTTTCTTTTTCTTCTCCCCTCCCCCATCCTACTTATAATTATTCAGACAGAATGAAAGTTTGCTGCAGGCACAGGTGAAAATTTTCCACCCGTGTCCCTATTTCATAGCAGGATCTTAAGATAAGACCAAGGAGAATGATCTTTGGAAAAGTACTTTCTTAAGAGCAGCGAATGGCTGAACGTAGTGGCTCATGCCTATAATCCCAGCACTTTGAGAGGTCAAGGCGTGTGAATCACCTGAGGTCAGGAGTTTGAGATTAGCCCGACCAACAAGGTGAATCCCCATCTCTACTAAAAACACAAAAATTAGCCAGGCGTGGTGGCAGGCATCTGTAGTCCCAGCTACTCGGGAGGCTGGGACAGGCCTGGGAGGCAGAGGTTGCAGTGAACTGAGATTGCGCCACTACACTCGCCTGGGCAATGGAGCAAGACTCCATCTAAAAAACAAAACAAACCAAACAAACAAACAAACAAACAAAAAAGCAGCGAGAAGAGAGAGAAGAGAAGTAAGGCCCTCTTCCTGGTAACATCTTGCTCTACTCCTATTCCCGATGTGGGCCACCATTAGCGCTGCTATGTGGAGCAGAATTTGTGCATGCACCAGAGATTATACTTGCAATGCTATCAAAATACTCATGGGTGGTGGGGGATGCACAGAGGTCTTGCCAGGTCTAATGCTGGTGAGGAAGCTTTAGTTTGCTAATGGTAAGGGCTACTGGGCAGTACAGTAAGGGTACTGAGCATAGTAGCATCATGGACAGCAAAATGGCAGCACCTACAAATAACGCAAGTAAGTAAAGTTATTGCTAAAAGAAAATATTCAGATAAACACTGGTAAGTCTTTTTGGAGAGTGATTCTGCCTATGGCTCAGCCAAGGCCCCCTGCTCTATGGCAGGGTGAATCTTCTGGATCTTCTACTAACAGAAATCTTACCCACATAGTGATAACCGCAGTGATTTAATCCTTAGCAGCATTGCTGATATGCACAGGACTCTCAGGGAGAGAGACCCCTGGGTGCCTTGAGGGTGCTTTCCACATCTTGTCATTGGGCTGAGCAGGGTCTTTGGAATCAGTAATCTCATGTTGGCTTGTTACATGTGAGACACTGTGCAGATTATTAAACATGTTTGAGTTTCAGTTTTCCCATTTTGTAAATGGGAAGACTAATATCTATATCAGAGAATGCTATAAGGAGCAAGTGAGACAATCCAAGTAAAACACACAGCCCAAAACTGGTTATAGTAAAATAAATGCTATTATTATTATTATCCTGTAACTTATAGGGTGGAATGACTTAAATGTGTTTAGAATGTGTCACTATTATGGCCCATGGAACAAAGCAACCCATTTTACCAATACCTAGTAGGTCTTCAACAAACAACAGAGACCGCTAGATTAATAGACTTGGAAACTGGTGTGATCATTCTGTACAATGGAATGAAACTCATCTCTGAGTCAGAAAATATGTAGCTCTTTTAGTGGGATAAAATGAGCCACATAGTCAAAATCCCTGCCCTCCTGGAGTTTATGGTCTGGTCAGGAAGGCAAATGTAAATACACGATTCCACAGTTACCTTAATTACCACTGAGATAAGTTTTGTGGTTTTATTTTTATTTTGAGACAGAATCTCTCTCTGTCACCCAGGCTGGAGTGCATTGGCATGATCGCAGCTTACTGACCTTGACTTCCTAGGCTAAATCGATCCTCCTGCCTCAGCCTCCCAAGTAGCTGGGACTACAGGCTCATGCCACCACACTCGGCTAATATTTTTAATTTTTGTTAGAGACAGGGTCTCCTCATGTTACCCAGACGGAGATAAGTTCCTTCCTTCCTTCCTCCCTCCCTTCCTTCCTCTCTCCCTTCCCCTTCCCCTTCCCTTCCCTTTAGCATGCACCACCACCCCCAGCTAATTTTTGTATTTTTAGTAGAGACGGGGTTTCACCATATTGGTCAGGCTGGTCTGGAACTCCTGACCTCAGCTATCTGCCTGCCTCGGCCTCCCAAAGTGCTGGGATTACAGGCATGAGCCACCACACCCACATGGATTTTGATTTTCTTTTCTTTTCTTTTTTTCTTTTCTTTCGTTTCTTCTTTTCTTTCTCTCTCTCTCTCTTTCTAAAAAACAAACAAACAAAACAATGACTACAGTATGCCATATATGAGAGTGGCTAGTGGGATTGGGGAAACAGTGTTCTAAGTCTGGGGAATTCAGGGGAGGCTTTACTGAGGAGGTGCCATTTAAGCTGTTAGCAACATGGGTGTGGGGTGAGGAGGCTGAACAGAGCACCACGCCCAGGCAGAGGGAGCTGGGTGTGTTTGGTTTCTGAGTTGAAAGTTAAGGAAGTTTAAAGAACAGCAGTCAGACGACCATGGCTGGAGCACTGTTAGTGAAGGGCAGAAGGACCTGAGACTTGACTTTGAGGCCAAGCTCTGGTATTTATTGGCTGTGTGATCTTATGAAGTTCATTCAAACTTTCTGAGCTTCAGTTTTCCTATCTGACAAATGGAGATATTATCATATAGAAACAACAGAAAGAATTAGAAGAGCTAATGTGAGAATTCTTTGTAAATTATGCACCAATAAGGTATTCAGTTTCTGCACAGATCTAGGTGTAACAAATACTGAAAGCATCTGAAGGTGTGTATGAGTCATGTCTGCTTTTTAGGTCTTCAGAGTGATGGCTTAGAAAGACAGGCAAGGAAGAGTAAACTCAGCAGGTGTTTGTTTACTCTCAATTGCTAAAAGCCAAGCTTGCTTCACATCTGTTCCAGGCTTTCCCTCCACTAGGACTCAGTGGTTCCCGTGGTTCTCTGGACTAGGGTAAGATTAATCTGACCTGCTGTAATAGGGTCATGGATGTGACATGGTCAGGTTTTCATACATAGCCTTTATGGAGATCCTTACTGGCATTTTAAAATTTATTTTATTTTATTTTATTTTATTTTGAGATGGAGTCTTGCTCTGTCGCCCAGGCTGGAACGCAGTGGTGTGATCTCGGCTCACTGCAACCTCTGCCTTCCAGGTTCAAGCAATTCTCCTTCCTCAGCCTCCCCCGTAGCTGGGATTACAGGCACCTGCCACCATGCCCAACTGATTTTTTGTATTTTTGGTAGAGACGGGGTTTTGTATTTTTGGTAGAGATGGGGTTTCGCCATGTTGCCCAGGCTGGTCTCGGACTCCGACCCACCCGCCTCGGCCTCCCAAAGTGCTAGGATTATAGGTGTGAGCCACCACGCCCAGCCCTCTTACTGGCATTTTTATCATATTTCCATGAATAGAATTTCTAGTCTGTTGCTTCAGATTTGTTCATTTGACTTCTAAAACATCTATCTGTAAACATCTTCTCATGTTTATAAACAGTTTCACATATCCTTTTCTGCAATTCCAAAATTCACAATACTCTGAAAACCAAAATTTTGTAACTCATTTGGCGGCAAAGCCTGGCCTGACTTGCATTCATTCTGTGACAAAACGAGATGTGAAGCTATTTATAGTCTTTCTTTACCTCATCTAGTGTAAATAGCCATACATTTAACGTGAAAATATATTTTTGCTTATTATGGGCTTTAGACCTGCATACACATATTAAATGATAGATTTTTGAGTATTGTGTAGCTTCTAATAGAAAAATCTGGGTGATATATCCTTTTACTCTGAGTATTATTTCATTAGTGTGCTTCGAATAAGTGAGCAATCATTTTAGGTACTTGAACAGAATATGACGAGAGACAGAAATCTATTGCAGCAAAATGAACAAACAAATCCCCTAGCAACCAATTATATACACACATTATGATGCATACGTTTTTCAGATTAGTATGAATAATTATTTGTAGATATTCATACCAGTATATACTTAATTACACGTTTAATTAAATATAATACTTATTTTGAGATCTTCAAAATGCTCATTAAATTTGTGTTTATGAGAACTGAACCTTTTTTTTTTTTTTTTTGGAGACAGTTTTGCCTGTTGCCCAGGCTGGAGTGCAATGGCACAATCTCAGCTCACTGCAACCTCCAGCTCCTGGGTTCAAGCGATTCTCTTGCCTCAGCCTCCCGAGTAGGTGGGATTACAGGCATGCACCACCATGGCCGACTAATTTTGTATTTTTAGTAGATGGGTGGTTTCTCCATGTTGGTTAGGCTGGTCTCAAACTCCTGATCTCAGGTGATCCGCCCGCCTAGGCCTCCCAAAGTGCTGGGATTAAAGGCATGAGCCACGGCGCCCGGCAGGAGAACTGAACCTTTTCTAAGTCTTTTAACATGACCTCATTATCCTGTAGATGAACGGACAAAGAAGCTATTTTCCTTTTTGTTTCTTAGGTTAATCTAGCATTTAATTACATTGTGTTCATTCACTTATTATATAAAGGTGTACTTATTGAGAAATTATTTCTAGAGGCAACTTCACAATGTCAATGTTGTAATTTGGTTATTGGCTCTGTGCACTCCTGAGACAGGGGTAGGATCCCCACTGCCTCAGGGATTCTTGTGTGTGAGAGTGGTAAGTGCTAGTGCAGGTACTCATAGTGTGGCTTTTTAATTTCACTGAAGTTTTGTGACTCCCAAACTGGGCTCACCTGTACATGCCTGTAAAGACATGATAGAAATAGCTTCATGAGCTTACTTTTATTGGCACAATAAACCAAGGCCAGAACTGCCAAGAATGTACAACTGCTATGGTCTGAATGTTTGTGTTCCCCCAAAATTCATGTTCTGAAACCTAATCCCCAATGCAATGTGGTATTAAGTGGTGGGGACTTTTGCAAATGAGATTAGTGCCCTTCTAAAAGAGGCCCCAGGGAGCTTGTTTGCCCTTCCACCATGTGAAGACACAGCTAGATCGCAGATGGCAGATGGCAGTCTATGAGGAAGCCAGCCCTCACCAGACACTGAATCTGCCAGTGCCTTAATCTTGGATTTCCCGGCCTCCAGAACTGTCAGAAATACATTTCTGTTGTTCATAAGTTACCCGGTGCAAGAGATTTTGTTATGGCAGCCCAAACAGACGAAGACAGCAACCAAACTAGGATTGTGTGTGGGGAGCAATAGAGAGGGTTTATTAACGAAAGATGTTCCCTTACTCTCTCTCTTTTTTTTTTTTTTTTCCTGAGACGGAGTTTCACTTTGTCGCCCAGGCTGGAGTGCAGTGGCTCGATCTCTGATCACTGCAAGCTCCGCCTCCCAGGTCACGCCATTCTCCTGCCTCAGCCTCCCAAGTAGCTGGGATTACAGGCGCCCACCATCACGCCCAGCTAATTATTTTTTTTGTATTTTTAGTAGAGACGGTGTTTCACCGTGTTAGCCAGGATGGTCTTGATCTCATAACCTCGTGATCTGCCCGCCTTGGCTTCCCAAAGTGCTGGGATTACAGGCATGAGCCACCGTGCCCGGCCTACTCTCTTACTTCTTTCTGGCCCAGTGATTCTGAGTGCCTGTGCCTATCAAGACGGGAAGAAAGAGAACACACAAATGGAAACTGAGGGGAAGGATCAAACAGTTTCACAAAAATATCCTATTTTAGTGATATTAAATATGATGCAAAGGATTCAAAACCTCACTAAAAAGCCAGAGTGAATCCCAGAGTGTAAATAACTTCACGTTTGAATAATAAACCTTTGCCCTATACATTTTTCTAAAGAGCAAGAGCTGTTACAGGACAGAAAACTCTCCCAGAAGACAGGTCTTTCATCCTAACCCAAGAGGACATGAACATCTTCCATTCACCCAGTGATCACCACTACTTTAGATGAGAGAATAGAACTGCAGTTTGACCCTTGACAGAAAATGCCTTGGAGCCGGGTGTGGTGGCTCACACCTGTCATCCCAGCACTGTGGGAGGCCGAGGTGGGCGGATTACGAGGTCAGGAGATCGAGACCATCCTGGCTAACACAGTGAAACCCCGACTCTACTAAAAATACAAAAAAATTAGCCGGGCATGGTGGCGGGCGCCTGTAGTCCCAGCTACTCGGGAGGCTGAGGCAGGAGAATGGTGTGAACCCGGGAGGCGGAGGTTGCAGTGAGCCGAGATTGTGCCACTGCACTCCAGCCTGGGCAAAAGAACAAGACTCCGTCTCAATAAAAAAAAGAAAGAAAGAAAGAAAGAAAAAGACTTGGAGTGGGAGTTGGGTGAGAGAAGTGCCTCAAAACTAAGCCTCTCAATGCAGTAGAAAGAATTTGAAAATAGGGTAACGAACTTAAGTTCAAATGTTGGCTCTGTCAGCTTTATAGCTGTGTGACCTCTGATTTGCTTCTTACTTTCTTTAAATGGTAGTTTACTAGGCTCAGTATAGAACATGAATATCCACTCTGTGTGGTTAGGTGAGAATTTAATGAGATACTCCCAAAATGTACCTAGCATCTACCTGATCATCAATCAAGTGAACTACGTTGGTTAATATGTTTTCAGGGCTCCCAGAGTGTTAAATTCTGGGCTATATGCTCTCAGGGATGGATGGAAGATGAGGCAGAAGAGAGAAAAGGAAGTAGAAAGAAAGTATGGGAGGCCAGGCCCCGTGGCTCATGCCTGTAATCCCAGCACTTTGGGAGGCTGAGGCGGGCAGATCATGAGGTCAGGAGTTTGAGACCAGCCTGGCCAACATGGTGAAACCCCGTCTCTACTAAAAATACAAAAAATTAGCTGGGCGTGGTGGTGGGGCGCCGGTAATTCCCAGCTACTCAGGAGGCTGAGGCAAGAGAATTGCTTGAACCCAGGAGGCAGAGGTTGCAGTGAGCGAGATCGCGCCACTGCACTCCAGCCCGGGCGACAGTGTGAGACTGTCTCAAAAAATAAATAAATAAATAAAATAAAAATAAATAAATAAGAATAAAAAATAAAAATTATTAAAAAAAAAGAAAGTATGGGAACTAAAATGAATAAGATTTGTCATTTTCCAGTAATCTGAGTAGGAACTCCACTATCTCTATGAAAAACCGTCAAAAACTACAAAAGGAGATGGCATTGCCAAAGGCACAAATTGTACAGAAGTGAGAGAAGGATGGGATCAAGCCTGGGGATCCTTCCAGAGGAAAGAAGTTTTGTGCTTGATGTAAAAGGAAAAGAAGGAAGTAGATTGATTGTGGGGAGGATGAAATTAGGATACTCAAGTAGTGGTTCTGGAAGGACCTCTACAAATATCCTGAAAAATATGGCCAGGAATCCTGGCAGTGACATTGGAATATGAAAAGATGTGAAAGGGGGAAGTTGTAGCTACTGGTGGAAAAAGGTGAGTGGTTTGTATAATGAACATAATTGGAGCCCTTGTCTGTACCCTCAAATGCCTCTGCCTCCCAAACAAGTAACAGATTTTAGCTATACTGATGCAACTTGCTAGGAAGGTTTTCTTTAAACCTTTATAAATCAATTAAAAATGATTTATAGAGGAGACACTTGTAAAACATTTGAATAAAAGTTGAACAACAAATATGACGAAAGAAAAGTGTGCAGGCCCCGCACAGTGGCTTATGCCTGTAATCCCAGCACTTTGGGAGGCTGAGGCAGGTGGATCACCTGAGGTCAGGAGTTCGAGACCAGCCTGACCAATATTGTGAAACCCTGTCTCTACTAAAAATACAAAATTTAGCCAGCCATGGTGGTGTGCACCTGTAGTCTCAGCTACTCGGGAGGCTGAGACAGGAGAATCGCTTGAATCCGGGAGGCGGAAGTCGCCGTCAGTCGAGATCACGCCATTGCACTCCAGCCTGGGTGACAAGAGTGAAACTCCGTCCCCCCACCAAAAAAAAGAAAGAAAAAAAAAGAAAAGTGAGGGTGGAGGGAGGGAGAGCACGACGTGCGCGCACCCTCTCCCCTTGTCCACTGCTGCCGCCTCCTTCTTCTGCCGCTCCTGGTGCTGCTTGTGTGCTCGTTTGGAGCGGACCTGGTACCTCTTTTGTGAAGCGGCAGCTGAGGAGACTCCGGCGCTCGCCATGGCCGAAGAAAAGCCCAAGGAAGGAGTCAAGACTGAGAACAACGATCATATTAATTTGAAGGTGGCGGGGCAGGATGGTTCTGTGGTGCAGTTTAAGATTAAGAGGCATACACCACTTAGTAAACTAATGAAAGCCTATTGTGAACGACAGGGATTGTCAATGAGGCAGATCAGATTCCGATTCGACGGGCAACCAATGAAACAGACACACCTGCACAGTTGGAAATGGAGGATGAAGATACAATTGATGTGTTCCAACAGCAGACGGGAGGTGTCTACTGAAAAGGGAACCTGCTTCTTTACTCCAGAACTCTGTTCTTTAAAGACCAAGATTACATTCTCAATTAGAAAACTGCAATTTGCTTCCACCACATCCTGACTACTACCGTATAGTTTTCTCTATTCTTTCATTTCCCCCTTCCCCATTCCTTTACTGTACATAAAGTAACTGGTATATGTGCACAAGCATATTACTTTTTTTTTTTAAAACTAAACAGCCAATGGTATGTTTTGATTGACATCAAGTGGAGACGGGGGGGAAAATACTGATTCTGTGAAAATACCCCCTTTCTCCATTAGTGGCATGCTCATTCAGCTCTTATCTTTATATTCCAGTAAGTTATTTTGCTCTCACTGTTTTAACAACAACAACAAAAAAACAACAACATAAAAATCCTTGCATACCTTGTTCAATTGGAGAATTTTAATGTTTTTCATTTATCATTGTAAAACCAAGGACAATTTTATAACTTTTTTGTACTTAGCTGTTACATGCAGAGCAATCTGTCTTTAAGTAGGGATAAATTACTCTAAAACAAAAAAGAATCCTAGATAGTTTTCCCTTCAAGTCAAGCGTCTTGTTGTTTAAATAAACTTCTTGTTTAAAAAAAAAAAAAGTAAAAAAGAAAAGTTATGCAACAATTAATGGCCCAGAGGCAATCCTTGTTAACATTTTGATGCATCTTTTAGCTGTTTTTTTTTTTTTTTTTTTTTTGACTGAGTTTGACTCTTGTCACCCAGGCTGAAGTGCAATGGCATGGCATGATCTTGGCTCACTGCAACCTCCGCCTCCCGGGTTCAAGTGATTCTCCTGCCTCAGCCTCCTGAGTAGCTAGGATTACGGGCATGCACCACCATGCCTGGCTAATTTTGTATTTTTAGTAGAGTTGGGGCTTCTCCACACTGGTCAGGCTGGTCTCGAACTCCCAACCTCAGGTGATAAGGGAAGGGGCACTATTGACATTTATGGTTGGGGCAGAGGTGTAAGATATTCTTCAAAGCACTACCTACATGTTGAAGAATTGTTCCTCACCCAGATTCTCAAAAGTCCCCCAGGACATTCACGTAGTGAAAACCTGTGTTTAATTATCTGAGCCTATAACTTAATACAGTTTTAAAATTTTTTTTTAAATATACAGTGAACTTTCTAGGAATGCAATTATAGTTGTGTGTAAAATTAGGGAAAATTAACTTTGCTACCAAGAGTTGTTCAACATTTTGTTAAATCACTTCATTGATGGCAACATGCTGGAGGTAGTTGAGTCACCAACTCAGCACCTGGATCAGCCTGTGTTGGTAGCAGTTTCATCCCCGTGGTTCTGTGAATAGGTGGAAGCATCTGCTTACTCCATCAGGACTTCTAGGGTAGTCGGGCCTTGGCACTCACACATTAAAATACTGTTTATGTTATTTTATTGCAAGTTACTTTTCTTTCATTTCCCCTTTACGTTACAGAAAGGGAAGCATTTTGCTTTCTGTTTAAAGTTGTGTATGTAGGTAGGTTATATCATCTATGACTTTCTCTCCCTCCTTCCCTTTCTTTTTGTTTGAGATGGAGTCTTGCTCTGTCACCCAGGCTGGAGTGCAGTGGTGCGATCTTGGCTCACTGCAACCTCTGCCTCCCGGGTTCAAGCGATTCTGGTGTCTCAGCTGGGATTACAGGCGCACACCATCACACCACGCTAATTTTTCTATTTTTAGTAGAGATGGGGTTTCGCCATGCTGGCCAGGCCAGGCTGGTCTCAAACTCCTGAGCTCAAGTGATCAGTCCGCCTCGGCCTCCCAAAGTTCTGGGATTTCAGGCGTGAGCCTCATCTATGAATCTCAATTTAGGACAGTAAAAGTGTCATTACAAAATATTTATTGTAAAAAAGGGTTGGAGGTTGAGAATCTCAATTCTAGTCAGTCTCTCAGTGTTTGGTTTCTTCCTACCATTTTTCCCCCTAGGACCAGCCAGAAAGCAGCTTTTTTTTTGTCCCCCCCAACAAGGAGCCCACTGTTTCCTCTCCCAGCCCAAACTCAGGCCTACGAACAACAACAGCACAACACACACACACACACACACACACACACACACACACACACACACACACCCCTCCACTTCAAGGTATAGCCAAGAGCTTCTGGAGCCGTCAAAAAGGTCTGTACCTGCTGTCTTTAGAGCTTCCAGTTTGCCCTTGGTCAAGAAATACTGTTTGCTAGGCTCTGCTGGAGTACATCAGGTAATACTGGCTTCTAAACCACCCTGAGGTTCTTTTCTCTTGTCCTTTTACTCCCTTCGTACTTCAATTTCTCTCCTTGATGTCCCCCTCCCTGTTTTGTTTTTTGCCTCCAATCCGTTCTGCGCGTTCCCTGCAGAGCAGGCGAGTAGCAATGCTGCTGGACCATGGAGCTGCTCTAGTCTCCCAGAAATCTCTTCTACACCCAACCCTTCTTGCGCTTAGGTGGTCCTCAGTCCCCCTCCCCCACCTCCTTCTGACCCAGGCTTCTTTCTCGCCCTCCGGTCGCAGTTCTCCTGGGCATCTGCCTCTGCCTCTCTCCTCTCACCCGGATCTAGGGCTGCCTTCTCTTTGTGCAGCCGTCTTTCTCCACCTTCATCCCAGACTCCCTGTCTCAGCGCCAGCTCCTCTGCCTTTGGCTCGGGTTCCCTCTCCCCCACCCCAGCTTCCAGTTGTTTGGCCCGCAGGTCCCTCGGCAGTGACCGGCGCCCCCCGACGAGTGCGTGTGCACCAGGGCACCTCCCTCTCCCCCACCTCTCAGCCCCGCGCCTCTCCACCGCCCGCCCCACCGCGCTGTGGGCGGTCCAGGGCGGGGCTGGGATCCGGGGCGGCTCCCGGGGCTCGGGTTGTGGGAGGCGCCCTCTCCCCGGTCTTCCCCTCTCTTCCCCCCGCCCTGCCTTCCCTTGCACCCTCCTTCTTCCCTCCGCCCGGGAGCTCTCCCTGGTCCCCGGCGCCGCCTCCTTCCCTCCCGGCTCCCCGCTCCCCGCTCCCGTGGCTGCCGCCGCCCCGGGGAAGAAGAGACAGGGGTGGGGTTTGGGGGAAGCGAGAGAGGAGGGGAGAGACCCTGGCCAGGCTGGAGCCTGGATTCGAGGGGAGGAGGGACGGGAGGAGGAGAAAGGTGGAGGAGAAGGGAGGGGGGAGCGGGGAGGAGCGGCCGGGCCTGGGGCCTTGAGGCCCGGGGAGAGCCGGGGAGCCGGGCCCGCGCGCCGAGGTAAGAGCCAGGGCCCCGGGTTAGCAGGGCTCGGAGAGGGGGCGCGCGGCGTGGTGGGGGAGGGGGCAGTGGGCGCAGGGCCCAGCTGGGGGAAGCGGGGCTGGGGGAGAGGAGGAACCGCGGGGATGGAATCGGGGAGCGCTGAGGCGGCCGATGCCGGGAGCGTGGGTAAGCCAGGCTTCTGCGAGCCGCGGGGGCCGGGGGAGAGGAGGTGGTGAGAGGTGGAGTCCCGGGAGGGTTGGGGGCCGAGGGAGGCAGGAGGAGGGTGGGGACAGGCTTTCTCTCCTCCTCTCCCCCCACCCCGCGCGGGGCTCCGCCCCCGCCTCCTCCGCGGGGCGCTCTCTTGGTCCCCAGGCTGAGCCCGGTCGGAGCCTGCGAGGCAACCGGCAAGAGGTCGAGTAGTCTCCGGGTGCGGGCCGCGCCGGCGGGGCTCGGTCCAGTCCTCATGGCCGCCTCTCACTTAGATGTTGCTGCTGCTGCTACTGGCGCCACTCTTCCTCCGCCCCCCGGGCGCGGGCGGGGCGCAGACCCCCAACGCCACCTCAGAAGGTGCATCCTTCTTCGACGACCTCCGGCCCTCCTTCGCTCCACTTCCCTTTCCCTGCATCTCCTCATTTCTGGTCCTCATCACTATCCCATCAGTCCCACATATCATCCCGGTCTGGCAACCCCTTCTGCTCGGCCCGACTTTACTACTGCTGACCTCCTTCTGTCACCCCACGTTACTATCCAGCACCTCTTTTCTCTGCCCACATTGCTACACTATACCACCTTCCTGTGCATTTTCTCCGCCTCAATCCCCTTTCCCAGCCCCACATTACTACCTCAATTACTCCCTTTTCTTGGTCCCACTTTGCTGTCCAGATGATCTTATTAGCCTCCCTTTATCCTCCTATCCTAATTCAACTCGAATATCCTCATTTAGCCTTTTTTTTTAAAGAAAAGCTCCACCCACATATCATACCCTTCATGATTTCTTAATTACTTTTCTTTCTTACCTCCACCCAGCACCCTTCCCTCCCCACTTGTGGGTTCTCTCATCAGCTTTAACCCTGGCCCTTTACTCTCTGTCCTTTAGCCAGGGGATCTGTACCTGTCCCCACTCCCACCCTCTAGTGCCCCATCCCTCTTCCTCTGTCCCCAGCCTGCCCACAGACCACGCCCTACTCTCCCCTTCCTCCCACTGGGGAGCCTGCCTTTTCCTCTTTCCCACCATTCCTCTCTGTATGCCTCCCCGACTCACCCCTTAGGTTGCCAGATCATACACCCGCCCTGGGAAGGGGGCATCAGGTACCGGGGCCTGACTCGGGACCAGGTGAAGGCTATCAACTTCCTGCCAGTGGACTATGAGATTGAGTATGTGTGCCGGGGGGAGCGCGAGGTGGTGGGGCCCAAGGTCCGCAAGTGCCTGGCCAACGGCTCCTGGACAGATATGGACACACCCAGCCGCTGTGGTGAGTAGCCTCGGAAGCCCCTCCCCTCTTCAAGACTATTCCTTTTCCTGCCGCAAACTTAGCATTACTGCTTGCAAGTCAGCACTTTAAATCCAGTATACCAAAATTCACAAATACATTTATTGAATGACTACTACATAAGAGCAATTTTGCTCTGTGCGGTTGGAGGTAGTAGAGCTAGCAGCCTGCACAGTTCATTTCATCCTCCCTTCATTAGGCCACTGATCATTGGCCTATAACATTGATAATTCATCTTGTCAGTTATTCTCTTTGAGGATCATTAGTGGCAGATGATGACAAAAAAATTCTAAAATGATTTCATCACATTTTTGAATACCTCTGTCACCAACCCAGAGACCATATGCCCAAGAAACAAAAGCCAGTTTAATATTAATAGAAGCCAACTATAATAAGAAAAGCAAATCTGATTGTGCATCCAAAGTTATATACATCTACATATTTCAAAGCCAGAGAACCGCCCACTGTAGCTGACTTTGAAGAGATCCCATTTTGTGTGCTTATAGCCCCATCTTGGGTTCCTAAAATGGTAATTTTTTTTTTCTTTTGGGAATGTGTGGATGCTTGCACAGGTAAGGGAGGATTGGAAGATAGGTAGGCAAATCCTTTTCACATGTGATTTTCTTTAGAGCAGGATGCTTGTGGACCCAAACCTGCACCTGAGTCCCCTGCTCTTTAAAGGGAAAGAGCCTTCTTCAACTCGCCTCTCTTCTTATTTTCCTATCTCTCCACAGTCCGAATCTGCTCCAAGTCTTATTTGACCCTGGAAAATGGGAAGGTTTTCCTGACGGGTGGGGACCTCCCAGCTCTGGACGGAGCCCGGGTGGATTTCCGGTGTGACCCCGACTTCCATCTGGTGGGCAGCTCCCGGAGCATCTGTAGTCAGGGCCAGTGGAGCACCCCCAAGCCCCACTGCCAGGGTGAGGGGAACAGCTGCCTGCATGCAGCTGATGAGGACGCTTGTGTGAGGATGGGAGTGGGGTGGGAATGGATAATGGGAAAGAATGGAGAGCTATAAAAATGTGGGGGAGGACACTGGAAAGGGGAGATGAAAGTCCCTTTTTCCTCCATCACCTGCCTCAAACTTCCTCTTGCAGTCCCCGGTATCCTCTGTAGGTTGGGGGCTTCCTTCCTTTACCTTTTAAAAAAATCTTCCTGCTCCCGATTCTTAGACCTCACGTTTTCTCTTTTCCTTTATGAATCTCACCTCTCTCACCTTCTTCAGGTTTAAATACTCCAATTTTCCCTTTCTCTAAACTTAGAAATTTCCATGCATCACCCTCTTCTAGAATTCATCCCTCACCATTCCTTATATAATTGATTTATTGTAAAGACTCAGAAATAAATCAAACATTCTACTAAGAAAAATTGAGAAGGGGAGCTCTGGGGGTGGAAACATATTAGGGTAAAAGACTTAAAATTGGAGGCAGCATTATCAGAAGATGAAGAACAACTCAGGGATGGGGTGGGAAGAAGACAGGTCCTTTTCTGTACTTCCTAGACAACCTCCATTATTCCCTAAGGGAATCAGTGTTGTGTCTGTCTACTTTTTTTTTTTTTTTTTTGCCACGTAATTTTACAAACTCTCCCTTTTCTAGGCACCCGAACTCTCTGCCATCTTCTCTCCTGGGATGCAGTCATCCCATTTGTATGCCTCATACTTCCTCTACCCTGGTAGATTCTTTCAAGATCCTTGGGCTTTACTTTCCTCACATAACTCAGTTATTCTGCTTCTAGTTTACCATTTTATTCTGGAAATTGAGAGTCCCATCCAGGGGTGGACTTATGACACTACTGAAACTTAGACTTCAAGGTTCCTCACCTACAGGGCCCTCTTCCTGTGCTCTAATAATATAGAGGGCTCGATGGATATGTGTTCATATGGTAACAGGCTTTTGTAAAAATTGCAGAAATAAGATTTTAACAGCAATTGCTTAAAGCCAATTGTATGTGTAATTTTTTTTCTTAAAGACTCCCAATTTTGTAATATTCAGGCACCACAGAACCAAGATCTGCCCCAAACTTAGCTATTGGCATTCCCGTCTCAAATTCTGTTGTCCTATGAAAAATCGAAGAAGAAAATAAGTCCTGACCCCCTTACCCCCAGACCCACCTTGTTCTTATCCCCAGGCACCCTCCCCTCAGAAACGCAGGCTTCTGCTCTCCCCGGTCTTCAGCATGGACAGGTGTGGGAGGGGGCTGGGGATCAGGCCAGGGAAGCTGGGCGCCAGTGGTAACTCTTCTCTGATCCCCGTCTTTCCTGCTGCCAGTGAATCGAACGCCACACTCAGGTGAGATGAGAAACCCTTACCGCGCGCACTGCAATGCCCTCCCCTTCACTCTGCACCCTCCACCCCCCTGAAATTCTGCCCTTAGGCTACGGGGCGTCGTCCTTTCGCACCTTCCCCAACCCACCCCAGTTTGCGGCCACCCCCTTCCCTCCCTACCTGTTTCCTGCCTCCAGTCCCGGTTTTCCACGAGGCTGCGGTCTCTCCTTGTCCCTGCTTGGCTACACTTCCCTGGGCTCCACCTCCTCCCAGACTGAGCCTCGCCGGTGTCAGGCAGAGCCCAGCAGAGGGCGGCAGGGTGCTGGGAGACCCTGAGCTCCCACCACGTTTTCCCCTGTGGGGTTCCTTGCGACCTTCGCTGGAACCTTTTCCAGCCTGCTGCCTCCTAGGATTTCACCTAATGGACTTTCTCAGCCTGTCCCACCCATCCCAACCCTGGCCAGGCCTCTCGCGCTCTTCCCCACATCTTTTCCTTCCGTGTACCCCTTCCCTCGTCTTTTCTCAATTCCATGTCCTGTCTCCCTTTCTTAGGCTTCTGTCTACCCAGCCCCAGGCTCCCTTCCACGACCCCACCACTCCCTCAAACCAGCCTCCCTTCCGTACCCAACTCGTTCCCTCCAAAACCGTTTCCTCTCCCCCACATCCTCAGTGCTTCACTGTATCGACTCATACTCCCACTTCAGACCTCAGGCGCCAGCCCCGTTTCTCTCCCGTCCCACTCGCATCCTTCCCTTCCTACCCTGGTTCCTCCGTGCTTCAGCCTCCCGCGGCTCCCTCCGCCCACCCCGCCCTCCTGGCACGCCCCGTCCCCATTTCTCCTCCCCTCGGGTCCCCTTAAGTGAGATCCCTCCCTTCCTCTTTCGTTCCTTTCCTCCTCGAGGTTGCATCCCCCCTCCCCTCCCCGCCCCTCCGACTGTCGCTCCCACCTCGGCGCTCGCTTCCCTCCCCGCCCCCTTCCTGCCTCCCCAGCTCCCGCCCGCCCCCCCACCCCCCGCTGCCGCGCGCCGCCCGTGACGTCAGAGCCCCCTCCCAGCCCCACATCTCCCTCCTGCTCCTCCTCCTCCCCTCCGTCGGTCAGTCAGTCCGCGAGG
This sequence comes from Homo sapiens, assembly GCF_000001405.40. Classification (NCBI taxonomy): domain Eukaryota; kingdom Metazoa; phylum Chordata; class Mammalia; order Primates; family Hominidae; genus Homo; species Homo sapiens. Next base: position 893,548 of record NT_167245.2, on the reverse strand, counting down.
AGAGTCCGCGGTGGCGGCGACGGTGGCGAGAGCCGCGGGGGCCGTAGGAAGCCAACCTTCCCTGCTTCTCCGGGGCCCTCGCCCCCTCCTCCCCACAAAATCAGGGATGGAGGCGCCTCCCCGGCACCCTCTTAGCAGCCCTCCCCAGGAAAAGTGTCCCCCCTGAGCTCCTAACGCTCCCCAACAGCTACCCCTGCCCCCCACGCCATGGGGCCCGGGGCCCCTTTTGCCCGGGTGGGGTGGCCACTGCCGCTTCTGGTTGTGATGGCGGCAGGGGTGGCTCCGGTGTGGGCCTCCCACTCCCCCCATCTCCCGCGGCCTCACTCGCGGGTCCCCCCGCACCCCTCCTCAGAACGGCGCGCAGTGTACATCGGGGCACTGTTTCCCATGAGCGGGGGCTGGCCAGGGGGCCAGGCCTGCCAGCCCGCGGTGGAGATGGCGCTGGAGGACGTGAATAGCCGCAGGGACATCCTGCCGGACTATGAGCTCAAGCTCATCCACCACGACAGCAAGGTAGCCCTGGACATGGGGGTGGGTGGGAGGTGGGGGCTTGCGGGGCAGGGGGCCAGCCAGCTGCACGCGCCCCCATCTGTCTGAGTCGTCTCTGGGATTGCGAGGCAGACCCCTCCCTTGTGTGACTGGCAGGAGATGGGCTGGGGGTGCAGGAGCTTGGGGAGAGTCGCAGGGGCTGGAGGTCCAAGATGAGGGTCTAGGGGCTCAAGATGGTTAAGCATGCTGCAAGGCAGACCCTTCTGCCCCGCTGCGGGAGTCTCGCAGAAGTGTCGGGGTTTGGAGAAACTGGTGGTGGATTTAAGGTATTAGGAGACACTGATCCTCTGAGGGAGTAAACTAACCCTGGAATGGGTTGGGGGTGGAGGGAATGTCAGAGGTGGGGAGCTGGATTGGGGGTTTACATTTACCATGGTAACAAGGTAAAATCTTGGCGTAGGTTGGAGCTGGAAGGAATAGGGACAGAATGAGGAAAATTTTGAGAGACTTGAGAGCTCTAGTTTATTTATCTTAACAAAACAGCAAGGTAGTGGTGAGCCCTACCTGACTCCTTCTCATCCTTCTATTCCCAACCCTGTTGAGCATTCCCAGACTGTGGGATAGATGGCATATGGTGATTGGGGAAGGCTAATGATCAAGAGGTGGGCAGAGGCACTGGGAAAATGAATTGGATTGGGGATCCACATGGGAACCCCCACAATAGCATGGGGATGAAGAAGAGTCAACATACAAGGAGAAGAGAACAGAAAAGAATGGCAGTGGGGGAGAGGGGCAAGGAGGTAGCGTGGGGATAATGAGAGATCTTGGGGCACCTTATGGAACTTGGGTCCTGACCTTCCCTTCCCTTATAGCATTGTGGCCTCTAGGATGTGAGAAGGGAAATGGGATGTAGGGATTAGGGAGGTGAGTTGAGGGAGAGAGAGAAGGTAAGCAAATTTGGGTCCAGGGGTATTAGGGGATAGCTTATAATGAGGTTTTTTTTCCCACCCCTCTCCCCTACATGAATAATTGGGGGTGCAGGGAAGGATGTGACACAGGGAAGGAGATTTAAGATCTCAAATTTATCTTCACTGACATGTGGCCCCAGAGACTTAAGGAATTGGGTTAGGGTGAAATAGAGTACACAAGGTGAGAATTTGGTGATCTTACCAAATATCAACCTTGGGGTGATCCAAGGATTTATATTCATTTTTAGAACATCACTATACACCTAGAAATAGGTGTGTGTCTGGGATAGGTGTGTGAGGGGACAGAAGTGAGGTTGAAGGTAGGGTGCTTGAAGAGAAGAGAGCACAAGGATTATCAGGAGCTTGGCAAGAGAACTTAAAATCCTTTTTGACTGTTACTTTCTCGTGGTTCTCAGCCTTCAGTGTACATAAGAATCACCAGAGGAGTTTGTTAAAAATACAGATTCTAGCTCCTTGGTCAGGGATGAATCCCAAGTATTTATCTGTATTTTTACTAATAGACATCCTATCTTGGTGGATTCCTGAGCTGTAAGCTAACCCCAGAATGCCTATGGGAAGAGCAGCAGGGTACAGGAAAATAATTAGGTATTAGGGTACGGGAGGCAGGAAGAGAAGTAGAGGATCAGATCTGGTAGAGGGTCAGACTTGGGACAGTCAGAGAGATCATTGGTTTTGGGGAGTGGAGTGTGAAGAAAATGACAGGGAGAGATGGGTGCAGGCTTTATGATAGGGGATCACAGGAGATAGGGGAGGCCTGGCTGTGAGCTCAAACTCATCCACCATGACAGGTGATTCCCTGGAGGTGGCGGGGAGCAGACGTGGGACCTGGGAGAAGGGAACTGGAGAACATCAGAGGCATCAAGCGGGGTGGGATGGGAAGGCAGAAGAACCAGAATGTGTCAATTGGAATGAGTCGGTTTCCTGCCTGCAAATCCAGATCCTTGCAAGAGCAAAGAGAGGGAGGAGAACTAAGGAAATCTATTGGGGAGGGGGAGAGAATCACGTGGTGGAGAGAATCTGCAGTGATGAATAGTGTGTGGAAGAGGGAAACGGTTGCAAGAAAAGGTAGATAAGAAATCAGGAAACAAAATGGGGGGCATGCCTTGCCCTGTTGATATGTATCTTATATGTTCTTGTATGTCCTCATTGTTCCTATTAACCCTGTCTTTAGAGAAGTGGAGGGGCACTGAGGGGCTGTGGGAGAAGCTGGGAGCAGGATCTGGAGTAATAGATGTGGGGAGAGTGCAGGAAGGTGGGTCCTGAGAATGGTAAAGATTTACAAAGTTGCCCTAGTGGGAGGCATAAAGAGAAAACCTTCCAATGTTGTTGAGCACTGCCCTTGGCCAGAGTGAGGGTAGGGTGGGCAACAGAGAATTCTCAGTGACTGCTGGTTCTTCAGATTCCAACAGCTTCCCCTGGCTCCCCCTTCTCCAACTTCCCACCGTGTCCCAAATGTCAGGCCTCAGTGGGAGGTAAGCAGGCTCCAGAGTGCTTTCTTTATTTCCTTTCTACTTATCCTCCCCTCCTGGCAACATTTCACCCTCCTTAGTCCCCTGAGCCCCCTGTCTGTGTCCCCTCTGCCCTGGCTCCCCACTGGCTGCCATTTCGTCTTCACATGCATTGGGGTTCCAGCAGCTTCTGAAATGTCATATATCAGTGGGAGGGGAACAGGCAGTGGGAGACCCAAGGCTGGCTCTTCCTCCCCCATTTCCCCTCCTCCCAAGCTTCCTTTCTTCTCCAGCTTTCTGCTTGTTTACTTTCCCTAGCTCCAAGCCTCTCTTTAAGGCACCTCTCAAATTGTCTGGTTTCTTGAGAGTTCCATTCTATTCATTCTCTCTGTTCTTTCCTCATCCTACATTCTTCCCTACTTCCACCCCCCAGTGTCTTTTTTTCTAATGGACCTGTCAAATGTCAGCGCCCAGCAGGAGGGATGGATCACTGAGCGGGACCCCCTACTGGTCTTGTTCCTGTTCTCTCTTTACTTATCACTAGCTCTGAAAAGAGAAGAGGGAGGAAACAAATGGAAGGTGGGGAGAAGGGGTTTGCAGAGGTGAGGAAGGAATTTTCATAATATGGCTTTGAGCAAGCTATCTGGGGATGTGGAAAGAGTTTACCGTATTCCTACTGACTTCTTCCACCCACTGGTGTTTGAAGCATAGAAACATGGGGTAAAGGGCTTGGTGACAGAGGGAAGGGGGATGTCTGAGGGTGAGCTGAAAGGAGGTAAGGTGGTATGTTCATTAATACCAAAGGAGGGGTGTGCAGGAGAGGTGATGGGTAAGGCTCCAGATGGAAGACAGAGAAGGAAGTTTAATGAAAGAGGAGAAAAAAGGCACTTGACAGGAAGAGATGCCAGAAAGGAGAAGAAAACGGTAATTAATGATGAAAGTGAGTAATTGAGAAAGGAACTAATTTGTTCGAGAAAGATAAGAGCAGGAATTGCAGACAGGGGAGGGGCCCCAGGAGAGCTTGCCCTCATCTCCTCTTGTCTTTCAGTGTGATCCAGGCCAAGCCACCAAGTACCTATATGAGCTGCTCTACAACGACCCTATCAAGATCATCCTTATGCCTGGCTGCAGCTCTGTCTCCACGCTGGTGGCTGAGGCTGCTAGGATGTGGAACCTCATTGTGGTAAGCAGGGCTATGGGGGTCAGAAGATGGGGTCATTCCCTTTTGAGCTCTACTGAAGGGACGATGGCGATTGTGGGTTTGTATTGAAAAGGAGTGTGGAGGACCTGCTACTAAGATTCAGAGTCCTCTGCAGACCTGAGCTAGGCAGCCTCCTAGCAACAGTGGCCTGACAGTGCTGCAGCTGACCTCCTTCTTCAGAAGGAATTGAAATTAGATCAGTGAAAGAGCATCCCGGTTGTGAGGGGTGTGTGGGCCTTTGAGAATCTCTTTTCCTTAGGCAGACCAGAGGTGGGGAGGTTTGGAGAGAGTAAGGAAGAGAAACCCAAAGGCAGGAAGAGGGTTAAAGGAACTCTTGGCCACTCTTGGTGTCCTCAGTGAACAGACCCTGTTGCACTCACTCTCCCTGCCCCACAGCTTTCCTATGGCTCCAGCTCACCAGCCCTGTCAAACCGGCAGCGTTTCCCCACTTTCTTCCGAACGCACCCATCAGCCACACTCCACAACCCTACCCGCGTGAAACTCTTTGAAAAGTGGGGCTGGAAGAAGATTGCTACCATCCAGCAGACCACTGAGGTCTTCACTTCGGTGAGGAGGGGTTGGGCAAGGGGTAAAGGGACATAAGCTCAAATTCCAGCACCAGGAGATGTGACGTGAGAGTCACTTTTAGGGGCAAGAACTTGATTCTTCATTGAAAGAGAACGCATTCCATGTGGATTAAGTGCAGTTCTTTCTGTAGCCAGGGGAAAGAATGAGTTGAGTTTTTGGGATCCTCTCTGTCTTTATGATTTTATGATTTTTTTCCCCTGTTTGATGCCCTGTTCCCCAGACATATAGACCCAGAATGACTCAGTTCTGTTAAAGTAGGTTCAATCCAAAGTGGGGGCAAGAGATGGGAGCGAAGATGAGATAGGAATCCAGGAAGGCAGCAGATTCCAGAGGCTTTCAAGGGGGGTGGTGGGTGGGTGTGAATGGGAACAGAGGGGATGGAGCCAGTGGATTACAGAGGAGAGAGGGAGAGGAAAGAGAGAGAGAGAGAGGAATGAGGGAGAGGAGAGAGAGGGGCAGAAAGGCAGCTGCATGGATCTGGTAGTTGGTACTAAGAGAGAGAAGCCGACAGACAAGGAGAGGTTGAGGGGGAAGAGGGAGATTTGGGGAGGTAGAGAGGAAATACAGGCTCTACATCTGAAGAAGGCAGTCTGCTCCCTCCCTTTTATTCTATTCTTTGGGTCTTCTATCCACTGTGTTCAGTGGCCCTTTAATCCTCCCCCACTTTCACTCTGATTCAGACCATTCTTCTCTGATCCTTTGTCTGTCTGCCCATTTGCCTCTTGAGGTTGACATCATGCTGTCTGTCCCAGTCCTTGCCTTGTCTTTTCCTGGTTCCTTTATGTTTCTTTACCCCATCTTTGCCTTCAGTGGTAGGAGTGGGTGAATGGAGTGGCTTCCCCCACACAGAGCCTCAGCAGGGGCTCACCATTCACCTTCCCACTTGGAATCCACATCCTAAGACCAGATGCCTTCCCGAACTCCTCACTTCAGGGACAGAAGCTGTTGAAGGAAGGTTCAGAATGGCTGCTTCTTTGCTCTATCTGAGTATTGCTCTGAAATCCCCAGTTAACCTCTCTGGTCTTTATTCCCTCATGCACCCCGTGTTTTTCCAACTTGTTTTTTATTCCCACCCAAGACTCTGGACGACCTGGAGGAACGAGTGAAGGAGGCTGGAATTGAGATTACTTTCCGCCAGAGTTTCTTCTCAGATCCAGCTGTGCCCGTCAAAAACCTGAAGGTCAGATGGCTGGGAGTGGTGGGCTCTGTTTACGGAGGGACCAAGCTGGGGGACAGTGACTGGTTGGAGAGGAAAGCCAGGCGGGGGCAGGTTTTGATTCTCTGAGGCAATAGCATCTCCTGGGGAAGTTTAGCTCCATCTTCCAGTTGACGTTTATTCACTATACGTTGAGCGTTACCCTGCACTAAGCACTTTGGGATGGGAAATCAAAGCTGTGAAGACATCTGGCTTAGCCCCTCAGGCATTCCCGGGCATCCCTCAGGAGCTGTTTCTTTCTCTGTTGTAGCGCCAGGATGCCCGAATCATCGTGGGACTTTTCTATGAGACTGAAGCCCGGAAAGTTTTTTGTGAGGTGGAGTTGGATCTGAAGAGGGAGGGGCACTGGGTGGGAGTTTCCCTTGGTTTTCTTGTGGGGCCTCCTCTTGGCATCTGTGCCTGAGTTGATAGCATATGATCTGAGGTGACGATTCATAGGATGTCTCTGTCTGTTGGCTCTGACTGCATCCCTTGTCTGCACACACATGATACTTTCTTCAGATCTCATTTTTCTACTGCTTTGTGTTTCCTGAGAAGCCCATGAATTCCATCTGTCCTGACTGGCTGGAAAAGGCCACTCAGAAATACAGGGGCTGGGGAGAAACTTAGAAGGAAGAATTGTCAGCCTTTCCTACTATCCCCAAGACTTGTAGATTTCTCTTTTTAGTTCTACTGCTCTTCCCTGATTCCCAAGAGGCTAAATAGTATCAAGTGAGATAAGACAAAAACAAACAAATGAGCAAACAAAAACTCAGCCATTCTCCTCTGTATTCAGGTGTACAAGGAGCGTCTCTTTGGGAAGAAGTACGTCTGGTTCCTCATTGGGTGGTATGCTGACAATTGGTTCAAGATCTACGACCCTTCTATCAACTGCACAGTGGATGAGATGACTGAGGCGGTGGAGGGCCACATCACAACTGAGATTGTCATGCTGAATCCTGCCAATACCCGCAGCATTTCCAACATGGTGAGAGTGTGGGGACTTGCAGTCTGGCACCTGGGAGGGTGGAGAGGACTGAGGGGGCCTTGCAGGGGAAAGGGTGGCAGGGAGAGGGTGCGGAATTTGGATATAAAGGAGAAGAGGGGGCTGTGCCCACCCTGAACTTGTCTGCATTATGTTTCCTGTGGATCCTACCTTTGCTCTGACTTCCTTGGGTAGAGAGAGAAAAAAAAAAAAACGATGGAGTTGTATGTTCAGTAGGTTCCTGATGAGTGGAAGGGCTGTTACCATGGAGACGAGGAGCAGTTGGTGAGAAGTCAGGAGGAACCGGCATTAATGATAATATGGATGCTTGTATACTCAAGCACACCTTTACAGGAGCACTGTGTCTGGGCAGAATTGCATTTCATTTTCTTGGTGATTTATGTTAGTGTTTTAGAGTTGCTTAATATTCACTCATGATTGATATGCAATTAGCTTGGATCCTGTTGCTTTTTTTAATGATTCTTTTTTTAGAATTTTATGTGGAGAAGGGGCTTTTGAAATCATTTAGCCCCAGACAGCTGGTTAATGACAGACTTGGAGCGAGGAGGCGCATTCTCTGATTTGAGAGGGCTGGGGCAGCCCTGCAGCTGAGGGGCAGAAGTGAGTGTGGGTGTGGGCACAGGGGAAGAGGCTTCTTTGTTGCTCAGCACTACATTGTAAAGAGTACAGGAATTTTGGGTAAGCTCGATACGGCCACCTATGTGTCTGCTTATTACACCAAGTGTGTACCTGCTTTGGAGAGCATGTTAGGGGTGAGTTAATGGTTGTAAAGCCCCAAAATAGCTTGATTTAAAAAGTTTTACTAACAGTGGCATTTGTGTGGTACTTAGATTCATGATTTCAGGGATTCTAACAGCAAAACTCTGATGTGGACTTATCTACATTTTGTAGACCAGGAAAATGAGACTCAGAGTGGTTTAATGACTTGTCTCAGGTCATGCAGCTACTCAGCAGTCCAGCTGGAATTGAATCCTAGTTAAATCTGGCTCCAAACTGCTCTGCTCATCACTTCCCATGGAAAACCATGAAGCCTGACTAAAAAGTTTGTACTTTTATCTGCTAACACTGTTTAGCTACTGGCAATTGCTGAGCAAAGGAGAAATAAGATTTAGGAAGTTGACTCTGGTGGTGTGTTGTGATGAAAGATCTGCTGCCACATGGACTCTGATGATACACACTGTTTTGGGACATTCTAAATGGACTCTATGTTTTAAGGTATGTTAGTTGAAAAATACAATGAAAAAATTTTGGAAGATCACTTTCCTGTAGAGTACCCAAGAGGTGAGTCATCCATAAAACCTGGGAAAGTATTGGAACTGGCTACCAAAGCCAGAAAGACTTGTTGGTGCCCTGAGCCCAGGACTTGCCAATCGTTGCTTCTGTCTTATAGCAGGGAGCTAGAGGAGGCTGACAGAAAACAGGGATTTGGCTGGATCTAGTGGCTCACACCTGTAGTCCCCAGCACCTTGGGAGGCCAAGGCAGAGGATCACTGGAGCCCAGGAGTTCAAGACCAGCCTGGGCAATATAGTGAGACCCCCAGCTCTAAACAAAAAGAGAGAGAGAGAGAACAGAGAGATGGTTAGGGACATAGAGGGACACCTGAGCATTGGGGTGGGAAGACTTGGAAGGTCCCTTTCTGACTTTGTGTCTAGAGAAAGATGGTTCCTGCTTTTGAGGCCATAGGGCTTCCAGTGGGACCAGCCTAAAATGCCAGTGGGGAAGCCAATGTTTTCTGAAGAGGATAGAGCAGTCTTAACAATAGGTTAGGGGCAAAAGAGATTATAGATTAATCAAACAGCACAAATAGAAGTGGATCAAAGCAAGGGTTGGACCTAGGGGGCCGGAGCCATGGAGACTTAGAAAAGAAGCAGAGTTGCTTTTATTCCCTAAGGATGGCCTTATGTTTAGATCAATAGTTCTCAAACTTTAACATCCGTCAGAACCACCTGGAAAGGTAGTTAGTTCACAGGTTATCAGGCCCTTCCCCTGGAAATTCTGATTCAGTAGATCTGGGCTAGGGCCTGAGAACTGACATTTCTAGCAAGTCCCTGGGGATGCAGATGTACTGGTCTGGGGATCACACCTCGAGAACTATTAGTTAGGGTAGTGGTTTTCAACTACTACCCTAGACTCAGACGCTATACTATCTGGAGGCATTTTTGGTTGTTACAGTTGGGGGTAGGGGATGGGGAGGGATACATGCTCCTGATATCTAATGTGTAGAAGCCAAAGATGATTCTAAATATCCTACAAAGCACAGCCCCTGGCAACAAAGAATTATCTTGCTCAAAATGTTAATAGTGCAGAGAATGAGAAACCCTAGTTTAGAGAAAACATCTTTAGGGGCAATATGTGGAAATGGAGAGTGGGTTAGAGTGGTTTTAGAGAAATGTAGCTGTGGGCTAGAGGGGAATGTGGGAGGTGGCATCCTGGAGATAAGATTGTGAGGAAATCTTGATTGGGGTAGAGATCCCATCAGACCTAGGACCAGTACAAACTAAAAAGCTACCTCAAGATATACATTTTAGCCCACTGTCAAGCATCCATTCTTGAGAGCCAGACAAGGCTGTTAAAAAAATTAGGTATAAATTTGCACTTGGTTGATTAACTAATTGCTGTGGGTTGAGGGGTCTTTATTGTTCAGATTTCCTTAAGCTGCAGAGTAGAGTGTCTCTTTGACAATCTATAACTGTATCTTTACTGACTCAAGGGGGAAGCATTCTACTCTTCTTTACTCTTGGGGTGGCAGGAGCAGTGGTGCCCCCAGTGGTTAGGCGTGTTAGTGGTAGTGACCTGGCGTGAGCACAGGGTCTGACCACCTGAGCAGGGGACCGCATCGTGCTGAGCAGATTAATCCCTTTCTTTCTGGGTGATTTTTTTGATGCCATATTTACCTTGAACTGAAGATTGGATAGACCAATCTTTCAATTTGAAGCCAAAAGACTACTCAAAGTATTAGCCTAGCTGCTATTTGTGCAGGTGCTCTTAGAGAGAGGCAGTCTCATGTACAGAGACTGTGTAGGGTGGCTGGTAAGAGTATGGATTAGCTCTGCTACTCATTAATAGTATAACTTTTTTATAGGCAAGTTATATAACTTTTCTGTGCCTCAGTTTTCTTATCTCTAAAATGGGGATAATAACACCTCATTGGATTGTTTGAGGATTAAATAAGGTAATATAGTTTCCTCAGGAAAATGCTCGATACGTCCTAAGGACTGTATACATGTTAGCCACCATCATCGTTATCATTATCATCATCATCCTGTGTAAGGAGGGATCGATATCAATGAAACATTTCAACAAAAGAGTTAAGAGGACTCAGTGATTTGAAAGGGTCTGATGTAATTCCAAGGCTTCAGTCTCATTTACTGGGAGCTGTTTGGGAGTAAGAAAAAATTGAGCTTCATCTTGGATATTTTGATTTTGAGATTATTCATCATACATTAAAAATGCCTCAGAGTCAGTTAGAAATATGGACTTGAGGCTGGGCGCGGTGGCTCACGCCTATAATCCCAGCACTTTGGGAGGCTGAGGCAGGTGGATCACAAGGCCAGGAGTTCAAGACCAGCCTGGCTAACATGGTGAAACCCCGTCTCTGCTAAAAATACACAAATCAGCTGGGTGTGGTGTCGTGTGCCTGTAATCCCAGCTACTTGGGAGGCTGAGACACAAGAATCGCTTGAACCCAGGAGGCAGAGGTTGCAGTGAGCCAAGATCGCACTACTGCACTCCAGCCTGGCAACAGAGCAAGACTCCATCTCAAAAAAAAAAAAAAAAAAAGAAAGAAAGAAAGAAAAGAAATATGGACTTGAAATATTGGGCTGAAATTATAGATCTGAGTATCAATAACAAAGATGAGGTTGAGAGTCAAGGAAATTCACGTAGAGAAAATGTAACTTACTTCATACCCAGCATTTTTATACATGTTCTAATTTCATTTCATACTATTTTAGATAGTATTATTCTCATTTTAAAGCTGAATAACCAACTAGTGAGGTTTAATAACTTGTTTGAGATTTCATAGCAGGTAAAATGATTAGAATATGAATTCATCCATTTATCTATCCAACAGACTTTTTTTTTTTTTTTTTTTTTTTTAGTAGAGACGGGGTTTCACCGTGTTAGCCAGGATGGTCTCGATCTCCTGACCTCGTGATCCGCCCGCCTCGGCCTCCCAAAATGCTGGGATTACAGGCGTGAGCCACCGCGCCCAGCCTTTTTTTTTTTTTTTTTTTGAGGTAGAGTATCCCTCTGCTGCCCAGGCAGGAGTGCAGTGGTACAATCGCTGCAGCCTTGACCTCCTGGGCTCAAGTCATCCACCCACCTCAGCCCCTCCCAAGTAAGCTGGGATCACAGACATATGCCACCAAGTCTGGCTAACTTTTTTTTTTTTTCTCGAGATAGAGTCTTGCTCTGTTGCCTAGGCTGGAGCACAATGGTGTGATCTCGGCTCACTGCAACCTCTGCCTCCTGGGTTCCAGTGATTCTCCTGCCTCAGCCTTCTGAATAGCTGGGATTACAGGTGCGTGCCACCATGCCCAGATAAGTTTTTGTATTTTTAGTGGACATGGGGTTTCACCATGTTGGTCAGGTTGGTCTCGAACACCTAACCTCATGATTCACCCTCCTCAGCCTCCTGAAGTGCTGGGATTACAGGCGTGAGCCACTGCTCCAAGCCAAGTCCGGCTAATTTTTTTTTTTTCTGAGATGGAGTCTTGCTCTGTTGCCCAGGCTGGAGTGCAATGGCATGATCTTGGCTCACTGCAACCTCCGCCTCCTGGGTTCAAGCGATTCTCCGATTCTCCTGCCTCAGCCTCCTGAGTAGCTGGGATTACGGGAGCCCACCATCACACCCAGCTAATTTTTGTATTTTTTTTTTTGAGACAGAGTTTCATTCTTATTGCCCAGGCTTGAGTGCAATGGCGCGATCTTGGCTCACAGCAACCTCCGCCTCCCAGGTTCAAGCCATTCTCCTGCCTCAGCCTCCGGAGTAGCTGGGATTACAGGCATGCGCCACCACACCCGGCTAATTTTGTATTTTTAGTAGAGACAGGGTTTCTCCATGTTGCTCAGGCTGGTCTCGAACTCCGGACCTCAGGTGATCCACCCGCCTCAGCCTCCCAAAGTGCTGGGATTACAGGCGTGAGCCACCGTGCCCAGCTAATTTTTGTATTTTTCATAGAGACAGGGTTTCACCATGTTGGCCAGGCTGGTCTTGAACTCCTGACCTCATGATCTGCCCGCCTTGACCTCCCAAAGTCCTGAGATTACAGATGTGAGCCTCCGTGCCCAGGCCAAGTCTGGCTAATTTTTAAAAAAATTTTGTAGAGTTGGGTCCTCTCTGTTTTGCCCAGTCTTGTCTCAAACTCCTGGGCTCAAGGAATCCTCCTGCGTTGGCCTCTGAAAATGAAAATGTTGGGATTACAGGCGTGAGCCCCCTGTGCCTGGCTGCCTTTTTTTTTTTTTTTTTTTAAAGGCAGAGTCTCACTCCATCGCCCAGGCTGAAGTGCAGTGGCGTGATCTCTGCTCACTGCAACCTCTGCCTCTTGAGTTCAAGCGATTCTTCTACCTCAGCTTCCCAAGTAGCTGGGATTACGGGAGCCCACCAACACACCCAGCTAATTTTTGTATTTTTAGTAGAGACGGGTTTCACCAGGTTGGCCAGGCTGTCTGGAATTCCTGACCTCAGGTGATCCACCCTCCTTGGCCTCCCAAAGAGCTGGGATTACAAGTGTGAGCCACTGTGCCCAGCCTGACTTGTTTTTTATAATGCCTTTTTTTTTTTTTTTTGAGACGGAGTCTTGCTCTGTCGCCCAGGCTGGAGTGTAGTGGCGTCATCTCAGCTCACTGTAACCTCCACCTCCTGGGTTGAAGTGATTTTCTCACCTCAGCCCTCAGCCTCCTGAGTAGTTGGGACTGCAAGTGCACACCACCATGCCCAGCTAATTTTTTGTATTTTAGTAGAGATGGGGTTTCACCATGTTGCCCAGCTGGTCTTTAACTCCTGAGCTCAGGCAGTCTGCTTACCTTGGCCTCCCAAAGTGCTAGGATTAAAGGTGTGAGCCACTGTGCCTGGCCTTTTTTTTTTTTTTTTTTTTTTTGAGCAGTTTTAGTTTCCCAGCAGAATTGAGATGAAGGTACAGAAACTTCCCATATGCTTCCCACATGCATAGCCTTCTACATTATCGACATCCTCCGCCAGAGTGGTACATTTGTTACAACTGATGAACCTACATTGATACATCATAATCACCCAAAGTCCATAGTTTACATTAGAGTTCACCCTTGGTGTTATATATTCTATGGGTTTGGACAAATGTATAATGAGACGTATCTACTATTAAATACTTTACAGAGTATTTTCACTGGCCTAATCCAATGGACATTTATTGTTACTTCATTATGGTTGGGCACAGTGCTAGATGCTGATGATTAAGAGAGGGCATGGGATTTGGTCTTGTCCTCAAGGGTAGAACCTAGGCCCATTGCATCTTCAAAGCCCAGGCTCCTTCAAAGCCCAGTGTAGTAGCAACTGCTGTACCTTGCCTGTGCCCTTTGCGTATCTCACTCCTCTATCTCTCTAGAAAGTTGGAGAGAAAAGTGAGCAAGGCATGAGGAACAAAGTTATTTATTTATTCTTCATTCATCTATTTATTCTTTCATTACCGTTTGTGTTAAAACATTCCAAACCCAAACAATTATTTGTATGGTCCCCTGTGTATTACTTGTGGTTTCCCAAGAAGTAGTTGCTAAGCTTTTCCTTGTATGGTTTCTGTGAGGTAAGGAAGGAATGATGTGATTTTCTCCAGTATGTAGAATGCAGTTCCAAGAGGTTAAGTAATTTACTTACAGTTATTTAGCCAAACAAGGTTACTGCAAGGTATATGAAGTCAGGTCTCTTGACCCAGTTCATGAGAGAGTTAAAGGAACTATCATTCTTTTTAGCTTTCATGGAAAAAGAAGGTTGAGTGTTGGGAGGGGTGTGGGTAGGATTGATAATGGACTTCAAAAATGTGAAGGGTATTTCTGTAGTTTTCATTCTTCTGAAAGCCTTCTAAGAGGCAGTGAACCAAAAGCACACAAGAATGGCAAGAAGTTAGCATGCTGAAGAAATATCCTCCTGGCTGGCAAGCAGAGTGAGAAGACTGCTATCACCTTTTCTAGAATCTTTTGGAATTGTAGGAGCTGTTAGATCCTGGGTTAACTCTATGAAGAAAGTCAGAAGGATCAGAGAACATCAGTGTCACAGCTCTTCATTGGAATATCCATGTCTCCTCCTTTACTCTGCTCTACCTTCCATCCTTTGCCACTAATTATCCAGAGTGTTTGTCAAAATTCTCTGTTTGCAGTTCTGAGCTAGCAACTGTACACACTAACACCATCAGACACAGCTAATACCTACTCTAGTCTAGTAGCTTCCGATCTAAGGCAGACACATGGGTATAGTTAAAGATTTTGAATGTACATGTGTCCAATCTGACAACAGTAACACAAACCATCCATTCAAGTAGAAGTGATTGAGTCAGAATTGGATTGCACCCCTTCCCCCACACCCACACACATTTCAGTTCTTTCCTCATGATTTTTTCCTCCCAAGACATCCCAGGAATTTGTGGAGAAACTAACCAAGCGACTGAAAAGACACCCTGAGGAGACAGGAGGCTTCCAGGAGGCACCGCTGGCCTATGATGCCATCTGGGCCTTGGCACTGGCCCTGAACAAGACATCTGGAGGAGGCGGCCGTTCTGGTGTGCGCCTGGAGGACTTCAACTACAACAACCAGACCATTACCGACCAAATCTACCGGGCAATGAACTCTTCGTCCTTTGAGGGTGTCTCTGTGAGTTAAAACTTCCTTCATACTCCCCTGTCTTCCCAATCTTGAGAGAGACTCCCAAGAGGCACCTTCTACAAACATGCATTCTCTGTTTTTCTCAGTTACTTCTTTGCAGAATCAGTCTCCGACCAGAGAAGTAGGGACCTTCAAATTAGAAGAACCCATCAAAGACTAGAGGAAAAAAAATGATGTATTCCATTTTTTTAAACCCCTCCCCTCATTTCTTTTCAAACTAGACCAAGTATTCATGAGTCAGATGAGAACTATAGGATTTTGAAAGACAAAACAGTCTGAAAGGTCATCTTCTTATTCCTTTTAAAATGAAAAGATTAGTTTCCAGAGAGATTTGCTGACTTGCTTAGGCCACACAACCAGAAGCCTGCTGGTGTTCTGTCTGGGGATTTTTTCCCATTCAAATCTCATAAGTGAAGCTCCTTCTCCAAAGAATAATGTTTCTAAAATCTAGGGTATGGGCATCTGGGGTATGTCCTATATGCAGGCAAATGCCATAAATAGCATTCATTCAGAGGCTCAATTACATCAAAAACAGAAGGATTTAAAGAGTCCCTGATGTTCTCTTTCACTCTTGCTTTTGTCTCCTTTGCCTTGCTCCACATGTTCCTTCCCTCAGGGCCATGTGGTGTTTGATGCCAGCGGCTCTCGGATGGCATGGACGCTTATCGAGCAGCTTCAGGGTTAGTACAGGGGCAGGAGGGGACCGGACATGGGGGCTAGGCTGGGGCTGGGCTGGGATGCCCCCTGGGGAAGAATGCCAGAGACATCACAAGATTGCCCTGGCACCTCCCAACTTCTGCCCTTCTCTTTTAACTCTGTTCATCAAGCTTGTAAATAATAATAATAATAAGCTTAACTACAAGAAGATTGATGTCTTTGAGTTGCACTGGTTTTGCTCTTGAAAAGAGGTGTGCAGGCTGGGTGTGGTGGCTCACCCCTGTAATCCCAGCACTTTTGGGAGGCCAAGGCAGGCAGATCATGATCATGGTCAGGAGTTTGAGACCAGCCAGACCAACATGGTGAAACCTGTCTCTACCAAAAATACAAAAAAAAAAAAAAAAATTAGCTGGGTGTGGTGGCAGGTGCCTGTAGTCCCAGCTACTTGGGAGGCTGAGGCAGGAGAATCACTTGAACCCAGGAGGCAGAGGTTGCAGTGAGCTGAGATCACGCCACTGCACTCCAGCCTGGGTGATAGAGTAAGACTCTGTCTCAAAGAAAAAAGAAAAGAAAAGAGACATGCAAATTAAAAACAGCTACTCTCTTTCCCAGTGGCTTCCATTA
The DNA here is from genome assembly GCF_000001405.40 of Homo sapiens. Taxonomy (NCBI): domain Eukaryota; kingdom Metazoa; phylum Chordata; class Mammalia; order Primates; family Hominidae; genus Homo; species Homo sapiens. The sequence goes on along the minus strand of NT_167245.2, from coordinate 877,498 downwards.
ATTTCAGGAATTTCCCCTTGAGTGGCTTGGGTTGAGAGGTTGATGACCTGTCAGTTAGACTCAAGAAAGCTGAATCTAGGAGAACCGCTATTTTTTTTTTAAGGGAATCTGCCAAATTTCCTTGCTGTGTAAAGCTTCAATGTGTATAGCTTGGCTTTTGTAGATTGTATTTTCTTGAAACTTAGCACACAGGTATTTGCAGAACTTCTAGGAGTTAATTTTTCTGCTCCACTCGGCTCTCAGTCTTTTACGGCATGGCCAAGAGAGCTATTTCTTGGCCTCCTGTGAAAAGTTTCTTTCTTCCTTTCTCCCCACCTCCACATCCTTTCAGCTCCTCTTTGTATCCAGGACAAGAGGAAATGGACTTCAGCCATGGTGAAAGGAGTGTGAGTTGGCTTTTGAAGGAAAAGTTATGGTAACGGAAACAGTTCTAGAACAGAAATCTTAGAAATGACCAAATTTTACTCAATGGCGCTTTAAGAGGCAGATATAACTTATCCAAGGAATTAAAACCCAAGCCAACAGAAGAGAATGTTCTAAAATTAAAATGAAAGCCACTGGGAAAATAGAGCCTGCCCATCATGAGAGGAAGAATAAGCAGAAATATGTGTAAAGCTTTAGAAGCCAAAATCAAAGTGAGAGACATCTCGCCGAGAGAGGTGTGAGGAATGGAATAGGTGGCAGACATGTTGTGGAGCCTCCTCACTGAAGACTTTTAAACATAGATATTCTTATTTATTTGAGTTGTCTTGGGAACCACCTTATATTGCTTTTAAGTCATGTTGCTGATTCAAGAGTCTCGTAGGTCCTTCCAAGCATCCTTAGGGCCTCAGGTGAAAATAAAATCAGATACAACCATGCAAAGCTCTAGGGAAGTGGGAAGTTGAAAATGCCTAGGATCAGCTCTTTGGCTACCTGTGGTCACTCCTTTTATTGTCGTCTGCCCAGGTGGCAGCTACAAGAAGATTGGCTACTATGACAGCACCAAGGATGATCTTTCCTGGTCCAAAACAGATAAATGGATTGGTGAGTGGATCTTGTTTGTATTTTCCTTCAGCCCCTCTCGACAGTCAAGGGAAAAAGTCATGCCTTTGAGTGAGGATGGAATGGTAGAGACTGTTAGGTTGGAATGTGGCTGGCAGCTGGGCCAGGAGAAAGGGTTAAGTGAGAGTGAATACAACCCCTAAGGCGTGGGTAGGGGAGACTGGTGTATTTGGAGAGGGAATAGGCGGTGGTTAGTACTATTTTTAATGGTGCATTGCTGGGGTAACTGGGGATTAGAGGCAGGGGGTGGGCAGAGGGCGGGAAATGGAAACTCCATTTGGGTTTCCCAGATGTCCTGGTGTCTTGATATATTTGAACCAGCTACTTCAAGCCCAGAGCTGTCTCTTTGTCTGTCTCTGTCAGGAAAACGGTTGCTTAAACTATGGAGGAGGAGGGAAAACCTCATGTAATTGTCATCTGCCAAAATGTGCTTTTTATTTTTATATGTATTTTTAAAAATTTTCCTATTTTTATGTAATTTAGAGGTAGACGTGCAGTTGTGTTACATGAATATATTGCATAGTGGTGAAGTCCGGGCGTTTAGTGTGCCTGTCACCCGAACAGTGCACCTTGTACCTAATAGGTAGTATTACATCCCTCAAAATATACTTTTTAAAGAGAGAAAGCAAGCAGTTATTCTTTGTGTACTTGGTCTAAATGATAGGACATAGGAGAGAAACTGAAGGTGGACAAAAGGAAGGACCTACTGATAAAAGAAAGCCTCCTTGAGAATGAAGGGGAGGCTCAACCATTGAAGATGGCTGCCGTCTGCCCTGCCCAGCAGATATCCAGTCATTCCCAGCACTGCTGGAGTTTTGCCCTTTTTTTTTTTTTTTTACAATTCGAATTTAGGACAATGTTCTGGATTGCTATAAATGCTGCATGGCCTAAATTATTCTTTAAAAAAAAAACTAAGCAAATTGAAATTAGTTTTTTTTGGTGAACTCTGACAAATTTGAACTTCCCCCTAATAATAACTGGAAAACATATTTGGGAATATTACCCTGCCAGGATTAAAATTTCAGATTAGCTTTCCTTCTTTTTTTGTTTGTCTTAAGAATAGGTGTCCACACTAGATACTTCAAGGCCTTTTTAGCTTTATGATTCCATAATTGTCATTTAAAACTTTGATTTGGGTTATAAGAAACCTTATAACATTTTTTAATGATCCCCTTCTTTCTCCTCCCATTTTCCTTTGCTGTAAGAAAGACAGAAAAACTTAAAGAACAAACAAAAACAAAGACTACAACTTTGGGGACATGCCTCAGCATTTCCCAACCTATGGATAGACCATTCACTCCATCTTCTCATCTCATTTCTGGTTGCTTCCTAACGGCCCCAGTGGCACTGAGCATTCTGCCTGCAGTAACCTCTGTCCAGTGCAGTTAGGGCCTCATGTCCCCAGCCAATGACTGAATGTCCATCAGCAATCTAGTTCTTTGCCCTTTTCTCCTATCCCGTCTTCATTCCTTTGTCCTCCTTCCCTTCTCTTTTCCCTTCCCCTCTTCCTCCCCTGTGCCATGCAGGAGGGTCCCCCCCAGCTGACCAGACCCTGGTCATCAAGACATTCCGCTTCCTGTCACAGAAACTCTTTATCTCCGTCTCAGTTCTCTCCAGCCTGGGCATTGTCCTAGCTGTTGTCTGTCTGTCCTTTAACATCTACAACTCACATGTCCGGTAAGTTTCTCTTCTGACGTTTTCCTTGTCTGCCTCTCTGAGATACTGATCATGTTCCTGGACAGGATGAGAATAAAACCTGTGTAACTCCCATGGCCATGTATCATGGAGTTTTTCATTCTGACTTGTTGAGAATGAAAACAGGGAAACCAGATATAACCCCCACTCCTACTCCAAAGTAGCTAACGGGAGGAAAAAAGAAAAGAAGAGAAAAAAACAACCTTTGGGGCCAGGTCTCACAGTCTTGGACTCTACATAAATAGCCTGTATTCTAGTGGGGGCCTGTGCTTGGGAAGCCCTCTGCAACTCCATCTTCAGCCCCATGACTGCATTGCTCTGCCTCTCAAGGCTCCACTGTCTTCTCCAATCCTGTCTTCCTTTAGCCCCTGGCCCTGAAATTAGGGTCATGCCATTGCGTGGTATTTGGAGAGCTCAGCCTCCCTGGAGAAGAGGGGTAATTCTCTCTCCCTCTCACCCTCTCCACCTCTGCCCTAGTTATATCCAGAACTCACAGCCCAACCTGAACAACCTGACTGCTGTGGGCTGCTCACTGGCTTTAGCTGCTGTCTTCCCCCTGGGGCTCGATGGTTACCACATTGGGAGGAACCAGTTTCCTTTCGTCTGCCAGGTGAGGAGGTGGTGGGCAAATTCCTTACAGGATGTGACTCTCCCACCCGTCTCAGGAGCACCTTCCATGATTTATGATTCTCTGCCCTTCCTCCTCAGCTTTCCCTGACTCTTGTCCCTGTTCTTTCCTTCTAGCATCACCCCTCTGTTCTCTGTTTGGCTCTGTCCCTTCTTTCTGTGTCTGCAGGCCATTTTCATTCTGTAGTTTACTTGTCAGTTCCAAGGTTGCCATGGCAGGCCTTGCAGAGAAGAGGAGGGAGCCATTGAAGGCAAAGGAAGGGGATCTGCTCAAAGGTCTCCTGAACAATGGTGGCTTGTCTGTGGTATGGGGGCTGAGAATCAGAACTGTGGACTTTTTTTGGGAGCCTTTGTTGGGTTTGGAAGGATAGAAGCAGAGATGGAAACACAGCAGAGAGTTGGGGGGAAGGGACCACTGCCACACAGGGAGGAGGGGCTCTGGGACTGTTGGTACATGGAAGGTTCTAGTGCTGTGGGGAGAGGCCAGCTTCAACAGTGATAGTTGAGTGGTTCTCTTTTCCACTGGTGGAAACACCCACTCTTTCTCCTGATCTGCCTGCCTGTCCTTGCTCTCTCTTTTTCCTCTGCTCTGTGCTGTCCTGATCATACATCTGTGCACATGGCATTTCCATGCACATGCACATGCAGTTCATCAGGAATCCTCTGTTCCCAGTGAGGCCAGAGTGCAGCTGGAGAAGCAGACAATTAGCTGTAGTGCAATAGGAGAGGTTCCAGAGTAGGGATCTGCACAAAGTGCTTTGGGGGCAAAGAAGGGAACACAGTTCACTGCTGGCGTGATTGGGTGGACCTCACTGAAGAGGTGGCATTTGAATACTGAAGGACAAATAGGATTTTATCAGCTAGAGAAATAGAGGAAGGCTACTTCAGGGGCATAGGGAGCATCGTGTGGCTAGAAAATACATGAAAGAGAGTAGATGAAGAGAAAGTGAGTAGTTCAGCATGGCTGGAGCGTGGGGTAGGTGTGGGGCTGGGAGATGAGCCTAGCTGGACAGGTGGATGGGAGCATGTTGTGAAGGGTCTGTGTCATATCCAGAAGTGTTCAGGCTATAACTTATAGATATTGGGGAGTGGTTGGAGGTTTTTGGCCACTAAAGCCAGGAGGTTTTAGCAAGATCACCCTGGTGGTGTGGAAGTAGAGGGTGGATGGGAGGAATTGTTCAAGGTGGGGAGACTGCTCTCCTCCTGCCGCTCCCCGTCCTGCTCACATTTTCGCATCCTCCCTGTGCCACCATGAGCTCCCTGCCCGTGCTCCCTGCCCACTCTCCCTTAGGGTTCTGCCCATCCTTACTGCAGTCCCGGCTACTACTCTACCCTGTTCTGCCTGTGCCCTCTCTTCCTTTCTAGGCCCGCCTCTGGCTCCTGGGCCTGGGCTTTAGTCTGGGCTACGGTTCCATGTTCACCAAGATTTGGTGGGTCCACACGGTCTTCACAAAGAAGGAAGAAAAGAAGGAGTGGAGGAAGGTGAGCTGCTGCCCAATCCTCAGCCCCCAGATCCTTGGCTCCTGGGGCACAGAGCATTTTCCCCTGACGTGCCTGTTCTCCCCACATATTTATCCAGACTCTGGAACCCTGGAAGCTGTATGCCACAGTGGGCCTGCTGGTGGGCATGGATGTCCTCACTCTCGCCATCTGGCAGATCGTGGACCCTCTGCACCGGACCATTGAGGTACCACTGGAGAGGAGGTGCTATGGTCAGGAGAATGAGCAGGGCTCAGTGGCCATCAGGGCCCTGGGGCTGTGTGTGTCTTGAGGGATGAAGCTACTTGGAGAGAGTGCCTTCCTCGTATTGGAAGCTCTTCCTTTCCTTCCTAGAAGGAGCCCCTCATAGGCCTCCAGATTCAGCTGAAGAAAGGAAGGGGTGGGAATCTGGGAAGGGTGTGTAGAACTTCCAGGCATCAGGGAAAGTGGGGAACAAGCACCTCCAAGGGTTCAGGAAAACATTCTTAGGCCTAGAATGAGATTTGGCATCAGCATTGAGGGTCTCATAGGAAAACAGTTGGAAGCCAGAGACTGAGAAGCGTTGAGGAGAGGAGGGGAGGCTGGCAACCATCTTTCTTGTGACCTTGTTTCTGCCCTAGACATTTGCCAAGGAGGAACCTAAGGAAGATATTGACGTCTCTATTCTGCCCCAGCTGGAGCATTGCAGCTCCAGGAAGATGAATACATGGCTTGGTGTGTGGGATGTGGGCAAAGGAGGGCAGGGATGCACAAAGGCAGGAGGGAAGGCAGGGGTAGAGGGCTTGGAGGGAGAGGGGTCTTTGGAAGAGGAGGTAGAGAGCTTGTCAACCCAGTTTGAACACCCTACTCTTTGTTATTGCACTAATCTTTTCTGAGAATAGGGGAGAGTTGCTCTTTTGCTATGAGGAGCTTAGGGCCCAAAGCACAGAAAGCACAGATGAAGAACTTGTGTTCAGCAGAGGAACAAGTGGGGGTAACCCCACCTCCAGACTTGACATTATCTTTTAGATCCCCCTTGGCCTTATTAGCATTGTTCGATTCATGGTCACAAATTGCAAACCTACCCTCTGCCTGGAAAGCCACCTTCCCACCTGTAGGGTAAGGGTGAGGCATGTGTGGCCCAGACTGGCCTATTTCTAGATATTCAACAAGCCCTTGCCTGACTGACAGCAGCTTGCCACCATTGCTTTCCTGTGTGAATCCCAGGAAAAAGTGATGTGGTCTGGGCAAGTTGGGTGGACATAAGGGATAGGGGACACAGGGTGAGGTTTGCTAGGTCAGAGGGGTTGGATTGGAGAGGAGGGCCCCCTTTCCATTTCAGAGTAGGTGAAGGGCAGAGAGGGGATGGGGATTGAGTGAGGAGCATTGTGGTCCTTGTTGCTCAAGTGACTCTCTCCTGCCATCCTAGGCATTTTCTATGGTTACAAGGGGCTGCTGCTGCTGCTGGGAATCTTCCTTGCTTATGAGACCAAGAGTGTGTCCACTGAGAAGATCAATGATCACCGGGCTGTGGGCATGGCTATCTACAATGTGGCAGTGAGCACTGACCCCATGGCATTGACCCTGTAGGCTGACCACAGCAGCCCAGATATAGAGGACTAGGAAGAATCAATGCTAGATCTGGGATCGGTTGCTTAGAAGTCTTAAAAAGTTTGTTAATTCTTCAGGTCTATAAAGCACTTTACAGTTTACAAAGCTCACTACAGACATTGTATCATTAATCTTGCAACTACCCAGTGAAGTAGATATTAGTATCCCCACTTTATAGGTGAGGAAACAGAAACACAGAGACGTTAAATTGCTTGTCTGTGGTTAATGGGCTGGACTCTATTGACATTTCCTGCCAGGGACCGACTCTGGAGGACCCGGAATCTGTGCATAGAGATCCTGGGAGTTCCTGCCTTGAGGGGAGGGGTTAACCAAGAGTGAAAACTGGTTTGGGACAGTTTGAGATTTTTCTCAATCTATATTTGAGGATGATCCTGAATTTGGATCCTTTTCAAAGGGAAAGTTCACCAGGAAACTGTCTGCATAGACTCCCTCCCATGGGAAGTAAACTCTGGATCTTGTCTGAGCCTGCAGACCTGAGACTCCCTCAATGTGTCTTTCCCTCTAGGTCCTGTGCCTCATCACTGCTCCTGTCACCATGATTCTGTCCAGCCAGCAGGATGCAGCCTTTGCCTTTGCCTCTCTTGCCATAGTTTTCTCCTCCTATATCACTCTTGTTGTGCTCTTTGTGCCCAAGGTAAGGATCTGGCTTTTCTCCCACCCTCTTTGTTCCCATGTTCCCTCCATCCCTCCTTCCTATATTACTGAGTTCCTCTGCCCTTCCGTTCACCCTCCTCTCACTCCTCCCCTTGTTTTGGGCCCAACTCTTATCAGCATTCCTTCCACCTCCAACCTTCCATCAGCCAGTCACTAGTACAGTCCTTGCTGGGCCACCCCACGCCCAAACATTTGCCCCCAGATGCGCAGGCTGATCACCCGAGGGGAATGGCAGTCGGAGGCGCAGGACACCATGAAGACAGGGTCATCGACCAACAACAACGAGGAGGAGAAGTCCCGGCTGTTGGAGAAGGAGAACCGTGAACTGGAAAAGATCATTGCTGAGGTGCGGGGGTGGGTGTCAGGGTAGGGTGTTGGAGTGGTCCAGGAGGCTTGCGTCTTAGCTTGGGTTGTCTGAAGCCAAGCCTGAGATACAGGGTCAGATGTTCTTGGCTCATGGAGGGAGGGTCCTAGGAGACAACCTGTAAGGAGTGAATGGAGCAGCATAGGGGAGGGGAAAGGGCTGAGCAAGATTCTATCTCAGGCAAAATCCAGTGTTGGCCTGGCAGGTGGAAGGGCTCTGGAGTGGGAGCTATGTGGTTGACTCAGCCTCCTTAAGGCAAGAGGATGGCTGTTGGCTGTAGGTGACAACTGGAGAGAGGCAGCTGTGAGCCTCTAGTAGTCAACACTCACAGCAGCTGGGTGTAGCATGCAGCCCCAGCATAAAGGACCTGGGCAGGCGTTCACTGTGCCCCAGGCTGTCATTAGGGGCTGGTGCAATGCCAAAGAGAGGGATGTTCCAACTGGGTTGACACATCTCTCTGATTTATTGGAAGCTCTGTGCACTGACTTTTCTCTCCTTCCCCACTTTTTCCTTTTGTTTTTAAATTCTCTCTTATTTCCCTGATCGCATTTTTTCTATCGGTATCCTTATGTTCTCTGGCTTTTCTTGTTCTGTTTTGATTTCTCCTTTTAATTTATTCTGTCCACTTACCCTACGTCCTCCCCCTACATTTTTCTGTGCCCTTCCTCTCTTTCCCTGTGCCCTTCCTCTCTTTCCCTCCTCCCCACTCCTTCATCACCTCCTCTTCTCCTACTATCCCAATTGTGCTTCTTCCTCCAGAAAGAGGAGCGTGTCTCTGAACTGCGCCATCAACTCCAGTCTCGGCAGCAGCTCCGCTCCCGGCGCCACCCACCGACACCCCCAGAACCCTCTGGGGGCCTGCCCAGGGGACCCCCTGAGCCCCCCGACCGGCTTAGCTGTGATGGGAGTCGAGTGCATTTGCTTTATAAGTGAGGGTAGGGTGAGGGAGGACAGGCCAGTAGGGGGAGGGAAAGGGAGAGGGGAAGGGCAGGGGACTCAGGAAGCAGGGGGTCCCCATCCCCAGCTGGGAAGAACATGCTATCCAATCTCATCTCTTGTAAATACATGTCCCCCTGTGAGTTCTGGGCTGATTTGGGTCTCTCATACCTCTGGGAAACAGACCTTTTTCTCTCTTACTGCTTCATGTAATTTTGTATCACCTCTTCACAATTTAGTTCGTACCTGGCTTGAAGCTGCTCACTGCTCACACGCTGCCTCCTCAGCAGCCTCACTGCATCTTTCTCTTCCCATGCAACACCCTCTTCTAGTTACCACGGCAACCCCTGCAGCTCCTCTGCCTTTGTGCTCTGTTCCTGTCCAGCAGGGGTCTCCCAACAAGTGCTCTTTCCACCCCAAAGGGGCCTCTCCTTTTCTCCACTGTCATAATCTCTTTCCATCTTACTTGCCCTTCTATACTTTCTCACATGTGGCTCCCCCTGAATTTTGCTTCCTTTGGGAGCTCATTCTTTTCGCCAAGGCTCACATGCTCCTTGCCTCTGCTCTGTGCACTCACGCTCAGCACACATGCATCCTCCCCTCTCCTGCGTGTGCCCACTGAACATGCTCATGTGTACACACGCTTTTCCCGTATGCTTTCTTCATGTTCAGTCACATGTGCTCTCGGGTGCCCTGCATTCACAGCTACGTGTGCCCCTCTCATGGTCATGGGTCTGCCCTTGAGCGTGTTTGGGTAGGCATGTGCAATTTGTCTAGCATGCTGAGTCATGTCTTTCCTATTTGCACACGTCCATGTTTATCCATGTACTTTCCCTGTGTACCCTCCATGTACCTTGTGTACTTTCTTCCCTTAAATCATGGTATTCTTCTGACAGAGCCATATGTACCCTACCCTGCACATTGTTATGCACTTTTCCCCAATTCATGTTTGGTGGGGCCATCCACACCCTCTCCTTGTCACAGAATCTCCATTTCTGCTCAGATTCCCCCCATCTCCATTGCATTCATGTACTACCCTCAGTCTACACTCACAATCATCTTCTCCCAAGACTGCTCCCTTTTGTTTTGTGTTTTTTTGAGGGGAATTAAGGAAAAATAAGTGGGGGCAGGTTTGGAGAGCTGCTTCCAGTGGATAGTTGATGAGAATCCTGACCAAAGGAAGGCACCCTTGACTGTTGGGATAGACAGATGGACCTATGGGGTGGGAGGTGGTGTCCCTTTCACACTGTGGTGTCTCTTGGGGAAGGATCTCCCCGAATCTCAATAAACCAGTGAACAGTGTGACTCGGCACCTTGCAGTCTTCCTGTGAACAGAATGGGCTTCAATCCAAGAAGGGAGGTTCAGAGGACTCCAAGTTCATGAAAAGGCATTAAAGCGGAGGGTGAAAAGAGGTGTTTTATTGATCCATTGAGGGCTTAGCAGAATGAAGCAGGACATGATTAAGTCTGAGATTAGTGAGTGAGGACACTACTGGTTAAAAGTGTGGGCTCTGGAGTCAGACTGCCAGGGTATCAGATCCAACCACATGCAAACATTTTCTTAGTCTCTATTCCCCATGTCCTCATTTATGAAAATGAGAATAACAGTAATACATTCCTCCATAGGTTGGGTACAAAGACTATTATAAATTGTGCATTCAGGTGCCTAGGTTGGCCCTTGGGCCATGGTATATGTTGCGTGAATGTTAGCCTCTGTCCCTGCTGTTTAATGAGTTCCTTGACAGTAGTGGGCATGTATTGGGAGCCTGGAGCAAGTGCCTAAGCATCCCCTCTAGGGACGCTCCTTCCCAGGAACTAAGAAGAGTAAAAGAATGATGACTGCTAGAAGGTAATGGATGAGATGGCTGCTGAGTGCTTCCAACCTTAAACATCTTTGTTTAGGAACTCTGAGCATCTTGGAAATAATTTGCTATCAAACTGAAAAAAAATCTTGAATGGACAAGGGCAAAAACATTTGCCTGAGACTTTAAACATTTTTTGTGTCATCTTGGAGAGTGCTTTTTTGAAGCTCAAATTTTCTTTTATTTTGGCACTGATTTTTAAAGTGATTCTCAGATTTTTGTAAGACAGCTGCAAGGGTTGGATGGGCCCTGTCATTCACTGACCTGTTAAGAGCCAATTTCTGAACTTCCACTAAAGCATGGGCTGGTTGAATCTTAGACCAGTACTTGAAAAACTTTCCACTGTGATTATCCACCTTGGACCAGTTGGACTTAATTTGAGTCTCTCTTCTTCCCACAGTGAAATATCCGCTAGGAAAAGAGAAGAAGTCTATGGAGTAGATAAGCCTGCAGTTTGGAAAATGAATAGTTGGCATCAGAACAGCAGCAGGAGGCTGGGTGTGGTGGCTCACGCCTGTAATCCCAGCACTTTGGGAGGCTGAGGTGGGTGGATCACGAGGTCAGGAGTTCAAGACCAGCCTGGCCAAGATGGCGAAACCCTGTCTCTACTAAAAATACAAAAATTAGCTGGGCGTGATGGTGGGTGCCTGTAATCTCAGCTACTCGGGAGGCTGAGGCAGATAATTGCTTGAACCCAGGAGATGAAGGTTGCAGTGAGTTTGTGCCACTGCACTCCAGCCTGGGCGACAGAGTGAGACTGTCTCAAAAAAAAAAAAAAAGAAAAAAAAAAAAGAAACAACAGTAGCAGGAGCTATAGAACAGCCCTGGGTAGAACCTAAAAGACCCAAATTATCATCTCAAACTTGCATTGCACTTAAGTGGGCTGTAAATTATAAACAAAGGGTGAAAAGTTCTACTGTGGCCAAAGGTAAGCCAGACACTCTGCTAGCAGGAGTGCAGGAGTCGAGAGCCAAACGGTGCGGCTAGCAGAGTGCCCAGTGCAAAGGGGTGGGAAGGAGTGAGATTGAGAATATTAAAAAGGTACTTAGAAGAGAACTTGTAAGATTTTTACTGGCCAAATTTAAAACATGACTGAGCACTATTTTTCATACAGGCCTCCTACTAATAAGAAAAACAATTTTGAGATAACTACTTATTTGAGTTCACAGTTAATGTTCCTGATGATTAAGATCAGTTGCAAATGTTCATCTGTCAATGCTTATCTACAATGAGACTTCATGTATTCATTTCTGAAAGTGTCTTTTCAGGGTGAATGGTGCTATTGATTAGCACTAATACTAATTATTAGTACATTATATATAATTACAATGAGATATACACACACATACACACACACATATATACATATACACACACACAATGATATATAATTAATATATAATTGTACCCCAAGGGGTGCAAAGGAGATGTGTTGCCAGGTGGAGAGGCTACCGCTTGGCAGTTCTGGGAGGACTTGCTCCCTGTGCACTGTGAGGCAGGCTTTGCCTTTCAGACCTGCCTTTGGGTAGGGTTCAGATCACTTTCTAACTCTGGAATGTCCTAGAATGTAGACTGCCTGCAGGCTTCCATGTCCCCTGCTTTTCCCTGACTTAGCCTGTTGCCTCCCTGCCCTCCTGTTGGTTGTCTACCAGTAGAGAGCACTTTGTGTGCACTTGGCTGCTACATTAGTTAGGTGATCTTCAACAAGTGTTGATGGTGAGTTGCTGTGGCAGGTGCTTTTTTTGGCACTGAGGCAAAATGGTGAGTAAGATGGCTTTCAAGCGTTGTACCTTCTCGACGTGGGAAGATGACCAGTAAGCAGAAAAACAAACGAGATCACTTAAGAGAGCAACCAGGAGTGTTGGGCATCTCACAGCCATTAGCTCTGGTGTGAAGGACAAATCTAAAAGCAAGGGGACTGTGTGTTCATTTTCTGGGGTCACAAAACTAAGGAGCAAAGCCAGTATTCAAACTGCATATATTATTATCTATTGCCACAAAACCTGTTACCCTAAATGGCTTCAGACAACAATAATCATTTATTATCCATCATGGTTTTTGTGGGCTAGAAATTCAGATAGGGTACAGTGGGGAGGGTTCACCCTGCTCCACAGCATCTGGAAGATCTGAAGTCTGAGGGTTGTTGTCCAAAAGATCCTTCACTCAGCATCTAAAGGAGGTATTGGCTGTCAGCTGAGACCCCTACACATGACCTTTCCATGTGGCCTGGTATTCCTCATGACCTAATGACAGTTCCAAAGGCAAGTGGAGGCAGTTGTAGAGAGTCAGCCAGGTTTAAGCTGTATTTTTTTTTTCCCTGACAAAGCCTTGAAAGTCACGTAGCATCACTTCTGAGATATTCCACTGGTCCAAGCAGTCACAAGGCCATGCCTAGGTTCAGGAGAGGAAACACTTCACCTGTTGGTGGGATGAGCGTAAGTCACACTGTAAAGAGAACATGTGGAATGGGACAAATGTGTGTTGCAGGCTGCTTTGGTAAAAGCAGTCTGCTGCATCTGGTCTGCCTGCTGCAAAGCCAGTGTTCACTTCACTTTAACATGTTCTTTGTCCGCCCTCTGAGCTGAGCACCCTAGCCTTGTATATTTGCTGTCATACAGCCTCTTACCAGGCCCTGGATTCCTCTGGATGCTTGGGGGCCAGCTGTGATCTCACCCCAGCAGAAAATGGGAAGTGTTGAAGATGGTCCTGCCAATTGCTCCTCCCACAGTCCTTGGTAGTTTTAGGACACCCTGGATAGGCAACAGTTTGTTTATCCACTCAGGCTTTTGAAACAGATAATTCTGTGACTTTGCCCTTGAGGGAAGCTATCACTTGACATGAAGCTTACCAAAAGGTAGGCTTCATGTTAAGGGAGGCTGTCACTTGAAGGCAGGCAGAAAGGTGCTATTCATTAGCCACCTTATGGTGGGTTCATGTTAAGTGACAGCTTCCCTCAAATGGGATGCTACTCAAAATATTTAACCAGTATGGCATCCACTTACATGGCTCCCTGGAGTGTGGAAGGATATGCTGGAGACTCTCCTGGAAGGTGAGTTCAGCACCAGCAGCAGCTGTGATAGGGACATGTACTGAGGCCTGTGTGGGCTGGACACTGGGACTGATGCAGCAAAGCTAGGGAGACAGATGCAGAAGCAACGTCATGTGGCCTGCAGAGTGCATTCCCCAGGTGTGTGTAGGGAGTGTAGGAAAGAAAATCCTTTTCCTCTTCCTGTCTTAGGTTCTCCAGCCGTGGCTGTGTAAATTAGAGTGGCATAAGACAGATTAATGAGAGAAAAACAAATAGAAGTTTATTAACATTTGCTTCATGCATGTACACATGGGAGTACCCAGTGGTGAACAATGCAAAGGGGCAGTTAGAATTTGGGCTCATGGCTGGGTGTGGTGGCTCATGCCTGTAATGCCAGCACTTTGGGAGGCTGAAGCTGGGGGATCACTTCAGGTCAAGAGTTTGACACCAGCCTGGGCAACATGGTGAAACCCTGTCTCTACTAAAAATACAAAAATTAGCCGGGTGTGGTGGCAGGCACCTGTAATTCCAGCTACTCGGTAGGGTAAGGCAGGAGAATTGCTTGAACCTGGGAGGCGGAGGTTGCAGTGAGCAGAGATCGCGCCATTGCACTCCATCCTGGTTGACAGAGCGAGACTCTGACTCAAAAAAAAAAAAAAAAGAATTTGGAGCTCATATAGTTGCCCCTTGAACAACTTGGGGTTTAGGGTTACTGACCCCACACACAAACGAAAATCTGCACATAACTGTTGACTCTCTCCAAACTTAGCTACTAATAGCTTACTGTTGACTGAAAGCCTTACTAGTAGTGTAAACAGTTGATCAACACATATTTTGTATGCTATACATCTTATATATGTATTCTTATAATAAAGTAAGCTAGAGAAAAGGAAATGTTATCAAGAAAATTGTAAGGAAAATACATATAGGGTACTATACTGTATTTATTGATGCCTTAAGTTTACATCATTTACATGATGAATCGTCTGTCTGAAATGGCAGCAACCCCAGCAACAGACCTTGATCTATGGTGTATATCAAGCAATTCAACTTTTTATAGAGTCATGACTTTGCTTCTTGGGAGAACTTCCAGCATCACTGTTGGCACTTCATATGGGCCCTATGGTGTTATTTAAGGTTCACAGTATTGCTCTAGACATGATGAAATATATGCAAGAATCTTGAGAGACCACTCTTTACTGCTATACACAATTTACTGGATAGATGAACTGCTCATGCAGAGATGATTAGTGTCACTTGGCATTTTAGGCAGATACTTGCAACAGTTGAGCTCTTTGCAATAGTAAGAGGAGGTGGCTATCAAATTACAGTAGAACAGTATACACTACAGTTAATTTTATGCCGTTATGATTTAATTCTGCATCTTTTGTTAAGCTTTCTCTTGACTTTGAGTGGCTTATGTATGGTCTGTAAGTGTGTGCGTAAGTTTTGATAAATTTTATTTATTTTTTGAGACATGGTCTCACTCTGTTGCCCAGGCTGGAGTGCAGTGGCGTGATCTTGGCTCACTTCAGCCTCAACCTCCTAGGCTCAGGTGATCCTCCTACCTCAGCCTCCTGGGTAGCTGGGACTGCAGATACATGCCACCATGCCGGACAAATTTTTTGTATTTTTAGTAGAGATGGGGTTTTACCATATTGCTCGGATTGGTCATGAACTCCTGGATTCAAGCAATCTGCCCACCTAGCCTCCCTAAGTGCCTGGCCAAATTTTTGGTTTTTATAGTAGATTTGTGTATATTTTTTGGTAGTATCTACATATATTTTATACATTTATTTGTTGATGAAAAAAGTAAAATTTGTAAAATATTTGAAGAGGTTTATTCTGAGCCATTCTGAGGAGTTCCTGAGAACATGTGCCCAAGGTGGTTGGGTTACAGCTTGGTTTCATACATTTTAGGGAGCCAGAAGTTGCTGACAAAGACATAAATCAATACATGTAAGGTATATATTGGTTCAGCTCAGAAAGGCGGGACATCTCGAAGCAAGGGAGCTCACAGGTCATAGGGGGATTCAGATTTTCTGATTGCCAATTGGTTGAAAAAGTTAAGCCCTGCCTAAAGAGTTGAAGTCAGCAGAAAGAAATGCTTGAGTTAAGGGGGCGTGGAGGTGGCGTTGGGGGAGATGTTTGTGGAAGCAAAGATTCTTGTTACGTAGATGAAGCTTCCAGGCCTCAGAAAGAATAGATGGTAAATGTTTCTTATCGCACCTTAAAAGATGTCAGACTCATTAGTAAAATCCCTCCTGGATCAGAAAAAGACCTGGAAGGGGAAGGGGATTCTCTACAAAATGCAAATCCCCATGACAAGAAATGGCTTTGCAGAGTCATTTCAAAATGTCAAATAAGTATATTTTGGGGTAAAATACTTTGATTTCCTTCAGGGCCTGCTATCTGTGGTGTGATGCTGTATCAGAGTCAGGTTGGAGTTGACTATTTTATTGCTACAGAGAATCTTTTGTCAGTCTTATGATCTCTATTGTAATGTTAATGCTGGTCAGTTGTCCCTAAACTCCAGAGGAAGGAGGGTATCATTGGCATGTCTTACCTTTCTTCCTGTCAGTTAGGGGGCTTAGAATTTTATTTTTGGTTTACACATGACATACTTTTCTCTTATTTATTTATTTATTTATTTGAGATGGAGTCTTTGTCGCCCAGGTTGGAGTGCAGTGGCACCATCTCGGCTCACTGCAACCTCCGCCTCCTGAGTTTAAGCGTTTCTCCTGCCTCAGCCTCCCAAGTAGCTGAGATCACAGGTGTGTGCCACCACGCCTGGCTAATTTTTTGTATTTTTTAAGTAGAGACGGGGTTTCACCGTGTTAGCCAGGATGGTCTCGATTGCCTGACCTCGTGATTCACCTGCCTCGGCCTCCCAAAGTGCTGGGATTACAGGCGTGAGCCACCGTGCCCAGCCCTATTTATTTTTTTAATTGAGGCTGGAGTGAGGTGGTGCAATCACAGCTCACTGCAGCCTCAACCACCTGGGCTCAAGAGATCCTCCCACCTCAGCCTCCCTAGTAACTGGGACTACAGGTGCGTGCCACCATGCCCAGTTAATTTTTTTTTTTTTTGCAGAGATGGGGTTTCCCCATGTTACCCAGGCTGGTCTCCAACTCCTGAGCTCAAGCAATGCATCCATCTTGGCCTCCCAAAGTTCTGAGATTACAGGCATGTGCCACAGCACCTGGCCCATTAATTTTTCCAGTGCTTCTAAGCTATGTGGTTTGTGAGTTTTTTCAAATTGTCACAAATCTCCAAAAATTTTCAATATACTTACTGAAAAAAATCATGTGTGAGTGAATCCATGGAGTTCAAATCGTGTTGTTCTTAGCAACTGTATAACATCTTGGCTAGGTAAAGGAAAAGGAGTTTGGGGCTTCTGGGTGAGTGGTAGATGGGCAGGCAAGTTATGGGAAAGTGACCAGGAAAATATGGAACAAAGTGGTTTAGTAAGGTTTGTTATGTGGATTTAAACTGTCTTCTCCATTAGTAGAGTTGTACCTTTACAGATAGAAAAGGTTTGTTATGTAGATTTAAACTGATGTCTTCTCCATTAGTAAGAGTTGTACCTTTACAGATGTGAATTTATTTACAAAAGGAAAACTTGTATCCTGTTTTACAGCATTCACTAGTCTGATGATTTTCAATTGTTAGCTCAAAATAATCCACATGCTAAAGATAGTTTGAGGTGGCATATACTGGTACCCTTCAAGGGTGAGCGATTAATTCTGCATAGGAGGAGCCAGAAGGTTTCCCCTTCCCTGGGAGATAGAAGGATAAGACAGGGCTGGGCCCTACACATAAGCATCTATTCATGATTCGGTGAGCCCTTCAGACGTTTGAGGTTTATTTTATTTTATTATTATTTTTTTGAGATGGAGTCTCACTCTAACTCCCAGGCTGGAATGCAGTGGCGTGATCTCGGTTCACCGAAACCTCCGCCTCCTGGGTTCAAGTGGTTCTCCTACCTCAGCTTCCCAAGCAAGGGGTTTACAGGCACCTGCCACCAGCCCTGGCTATTATTATTATTATTATTATTTGTATTTTTAGTAGAGACTTTTTAATTTTTATTAGAGACTTCATATTTTTAGTAGAGACGAGGTTCTTGAATAATGTTCCTTTAAGGCTTCCAACTCACATGTCATGTTAGAATGAATAGTTAAGTGCCTGCCCTCAGGAGACCTAAATCATGTAGGTTTGAAACATCTGTAAGGGATCCTTTTTTTTTTTTTTTTTTCTGGTTGTATTCAATTCAGTAGCTTCTGTATCTTTCTGAAATAATCTCTACCTTCCTGCTTAATCATTTTGCTCCTCGGTGTAACTCCTTCCCCCACATCTCCCTATCTTAATGCACAACATGCTTATTTTTGTCTTTAGCCTTTTCTGTTATAGAACCAAACTGGGGTCTGCTTGCCTGGTGCAATAAAACCAGATACTTACACCAAGGATTGCACCAATAGAAAGAAAGGCATTTGTTGCAGGACACTACGCAGGGAGGACCAGGCAGCTAAACACTCAAGTCCTGGCCTCCCTGATGTCTTGCAGGCAAGGGTATTAGCGGCAGAATGTATCAGAGTTACATGGCATGAAAATATGTTAGCAGCTGCGAATCTGTACAGGTCTGCAGCAACCTCAATTTTTGCCTCCTCAGAAGAAAGAATCTGACTGAGGGGCATAAAGCAGAGTAAGAGACCGAAGCAAATTTTAGAACAGGAGTAAAAGTTTATTAAAAAGCTTTACAGCAGGAACAAAATAAAGTAAAGCCAACTTGGAAGGGGGCCAAGCAGGCAACTTGAGAGATCAAGTGCGTGGTTTTGACCTTGACTTAGGGTTTTATATGTTGGCAGGGTTCCAGGGTCCCTTCTCCCCTGAATCTTCCCTTGGGGTGGGCTGTCTGCATGTACAGTGGCCTGCTAGTGCTTGGGAGGGGCTGCATGCACGGTATGTTTACTGGAGTAGTATGCATGCTGACTTGAGGCATTCTTCCCTTACCAGGGAGTGTTCCTATAAGGTTATAAACCAGTTAAATGCTGTCATTTCTCCCTTAGTGCCCATGCATGAGCCCACTTGCCCAACTCCTGAGATCTTAGTTTCAGGTTTTTCTATTTATTGGGAGACTGTTTTTCCCTGGCACAGGCTGTGACCAATGATTATTTTAGAGAGACAGCTTAACAACCGCCTATCACCTGATGGTTGCCTGACATTCCTGGTGGGGAAGGAGGCCCTTTCCTGCCCTGCTCGTGTCTGACTAACTATTGTAACATGGGTTTTTAAAGGCAGGGGTAAGGCAGTGTGCAGTGGCTCACACCTGTAATCCCAGCACTTTGAGAGGCTGAGGCAGGAAGATCACTTGAACCTAGGAGTTCAAGAACAGCCTGGGCAACAAAGTGAGACCCCAACTCTACAAGAAATAAAAAAATTAGCCAAATATGGTGGCATATGCCTGTACTCCCAGCCACTCAGAAGGCTGAGGTGAGAGGATCCCTTGAATCCAGGAGGTTGAGGCTGCACTGAGCCATGATTATGCCACTGCACTCCAGCCTGGACAACACGGCAAGACCCTGTCTCAAAAAACAGGAAACAAAAAAAGGCAGGGGTAAATTTCAGAAAAGCAGAAGCTACAAGGAACATTGGAAATCAGTGCATAGAGGTTCCACATTTTTTTTTGAGATGGAGTCTTGCTCGGTTGCCCAGGCTGGAGTGCAGCTGTGTGATCTTGGCTCACTGCAAGCTCTGCCTCCCAGGATCATGCCATTCTCCTGCCTCAGCCTCCCGAGTAGCTAGGACTATAGGCACCCACCACCACGCCTGGCTAATTTTTTTTTTTGTATTTTTTGTAGAGATGGGGTTTCACCGTGTTAGCCAGGATGGTCTTGATCTGACCTCATGATCCGCCCACATTGCTTCCCAAAGGGCTGGGATTACAGCTGTGAGCCACCGTGCCCGGCCTCCACATTGGTTTTGATCTAAAAGGGTGGGATATCTTGAATCAGGGACTTACAGGTTATAGGTAGATTCAAAGATTTTTCTGGCCAGGTGTGGGTCATGCTTGTAATCCCAGCACTTTGGGAGGCCAAGGAGAGAGGATCCCTTAAGGCCAAGAGTTTGAGACCAGCCTGCGAAACATAACAAGACTCTGTATCTACACACACAAAATTTTTTTTAATTAGAGGCTGAGGCAGGAGAATTGCTTGAGCCTGGGTGGTTAAGCTGCAGTGAGCTACGACTGCAACTGCATTCTGGCCTAAGTAACAGAGCAAAAGCCTGTCTCAAACAAAAACAAAAAAACCCCAAATTTGCAATTAGTTAAGGAAGAGAACCTTTGTTTAAAAATTTGGGGTCCAGTAGAAAAATGTTAACTGCCTAGAAGGTGTTACTTTCTCCAAGCTCCTCAGGAAGAAACTTAGAACAAAGGATGATGGTTATAAAGTTCAGTCATTTTCCTGTCCTCTGAGGTCTATGCCAGCAGATTCATTTGGTGGGGTTCCGAGTTTCTGAGAGACAACGCAGAGACATATGTTAAGAGGTTATCTTTAGTTTCTATGAGGAAAGCAAACCTATTCAGAACGCTTAACTTCCTTGGCTATTGTCTTAGGCTGCTATTACCTTGTTGCTTTTCAAGTTGCTACTTATTTCTCAGAGCCAGCTAGGTGCCTGGAATTTTCCTTGAAGAAACACAGGATTTTGCTTTATTTCCATGCTTAGGAGTCCCCAAGCCCCTAAAAAGGGGGTCTTTGCATCATCTCATTTCTACACAGTCAGCAAATACTTCTTATTTTGTTTACTCTTCTGTGGTTCAAACCTCTAAGAGGCTTCCATGATCACTGCCGCTCCAAGCACTCACACACATTATTCTTTAATTCTGTATTCCTGTAGACTCTTATTTGCTCCAATTCAGTTGTGTAACTGTCATGTATGCTGGCACTATGTGCCTGACCATCCCTATTTTCACTGGACATTGTGGGGGTTGTGACTGAGTAACTTTATATTGGATTTTCTCACAGAGTATCCAATAGATGACTGTCACATGGAAACAATGAATTTAGGATAAGAGATGTTAGTCCTAAGTCCTATGTTAAACCATTTATTCAACAAAGCAGATTCTTTTAGACTGCTTTATTTAATTCTCTGTTGCATTTCCCCTAGAGTCAGTCTAGAAACGATTTTACTATATACAAACATTATAGCCTCTGGCTGTAGGGAGATGATAAACAGGAGAAAAGTGTAGACATTTCTAGGTGCCAGTAAGAGAAAGCAGATAGAGGGGGTCATGAAAAAAAGGTCTTACTACAGTGATTTGAAAAGTGGAATTAAGCTTAGCCTTACCTGTAGGGCTGAGATTATGATTATGATTATGATTATTTGAGATAGAGTCTCACTGTGTCGCCCTGGCTGGAGTGCAGTGGCATGATCTCGGCTCACTGCAACCTCCGCCTCCCAGGTTCTCCTGCCTTAGCCTCCTAAGTAGCTGGGATTACAGGAGCACGCCACCACGCCAGGCTAGTTTTTTTTTTGTATTTTTAGTAGAGACAGGGTTTCACCATGTTGGTCAGGCTGGTCTCGAACTCCTGACCTCGTGATCCGCCCGCCTTGGCCTCCTAAAGTGCTGGGATTATAGGTGTGAGCCACTGCGCCTGACTGATTAGGATTATTAAATATAAAATGGGGGCTCTACATTAAGATTAGAATATGCTCTAATAACGAGGTCAAGGAGACAATAAGATTAACACAAGGATGGCTAGGATAAAGATTAGGATTATAATAGAATTAATGTTGCTGTTCTGTGCTGATGCCAGGATAAATGTTGAATCAAAATCATTTTATGTTGGAACTAGAAATAAAACTAAGATTTTCCTTTTTCTTATTTTATCGGCGTGTACTCAAAAGGGAATTTGGTATTGCTGCCCTTGCCAGGGAAAAGCTGGGAGACAGCGTATGTGGGATTGGAACCCGAGAACCTTTTATATATTCTCTTTGGAGAGTAAGATTCATTCATTCATTCATTCATTCACTTATACATTTATAAAACTGGGTGCCAATTTTATGCAAAATTCTGGTCCTTGCCTTCTGAGAGCCTGAAATCTAGTGGGTGAACTAAGCCAGAAACACACACACAATGAACTGTAACACAACTTTTTCCAAAAGTTTTATTGTTCTGTTGTTTCTTATGCTTTGAAGTATTTGAAAAACTCTTATTTTAAGGAAGTGAAACCCCTTCGGCTGGGGGATCATTTAGATATAGTTTTAGATTGAAATGATTTCCTCAAAGCTTGTTGAGAAGTTGAAGCTTTTCACCTGGGCCTGGGAGGCATTATTTTTACCAAAAGGCAAGGTTAAGAGCAAGGAGTCTGGAGCCAGTTTTCCTGGGTTCAAATCCTGTCTTGCACATTTGCAAGTGGTAACATAAATTCTGTGTTTTAGTTTTTACCTCTGAAAAAGGATAATAATATTATCTGCTTCATAGTGTTGTTATAAGGGTTAAATAAGTCAATATGTGTAAATTGCAGGGGGTTCCTGACTTTGACCATTTTTTGACTTTATAATAATGCAAAAGAGATACATTCAGTAGAAACCGTACTTTGAGTACCAATATAACCATTCTGTTTTTTCACTTTTAGTACAGTATTCAGTAAATTACATGAGATATTCAAAACTTTATTATAAAATAGACTTTGTATTGAGGATTTTGCTGAACTGTAGGCTAATGTAAGTGTTCTGAGTATGTTTAAGGTAGGCTAGGCTAAGCTATGATGTTTGGTAGGTTAGGTGTATGAAATGCATATTCAACTTACAATATTTTCAGTATATGATAGGTTTTTTGGGAGGTAACATCATTATAAGTCAAGGAGCATCTGTACTTTAAGTGTTACTTGGGTTAACATAACAATTACATAAATGCTTATAGTATCATAACCATATCTATGTCTTTGAGCAAAGTACAGTTCGGATGACCCTGGAGCAGAAGTCTGGGATGTCACATGCAATACCATATTTGGCCGGTAGATGACACCAAGGTCCACAATGTGCCAGCCTAAACATGAAGATATTTTTGTGTCTTTTTGGCTGCTCCTTTACCTGCGATTTGTGGGCATTGTAAGAGAAGAAATAGGACTGAAGAAGCTAAGTTTCCTTTGTAAGGCTCAAGCCTGAAATACTGGGATATTTGATTATGGTGTGAAAGCAACAGTGTGTATTTGAGAGTTGCCTGACTGAAAATTATGGGGCCTGGATTTTAGTTCTGATGCTGTGGACACTGTGTGTTCTTGGGTGAGTTTCCGAACTTAGCTGGGCTTCAGCTTCCCCTTCTCTTTTGCTGTTATTTGAGGAATAAAATAGAATGAGAATACAAAACAGACATATAGTGAAGTGGGAAAAACATGAGGGAGAAGCAAAGAAGATATGGTAGGAATTAGAATTGGAGGTGAAGGAATAGTGGGGATATGGCAAGGGAGGGGAATTAAAAATGGAAGTGATAAAGGTAGGAACATGACTATGGAGGCGAAGACTTAAAGTAGAAAAAAATATAAAATATACTTGATGCCTATAATTTTTCGCATAAAGATACCTCCCTTTACTACATTTCAGTCGCTGTCTCTTGCACACATACATGCACACACACAGACATGTGGCTTTCATCCATTCCCACAATGTAATGGGTGTGAAGAAGGCAGAGGGGCAGGGAACTCAAACTTTCTGATAAAAGCACATAGAATCTCCTCTCTTTTAAAGCACATTAAGCAGCTCTCCCTCAGCTTTGTGTGAGCCCCATTTCCTTCCCCAGCAATCTCCTGAATGCCCTGGTTACCTCCTTGTTCCTCAGGGTGTATATGAGAGGGTTAAGTGAAGGAGTGCCCACTGCATAGAAGAGACCAAAGAACTTGCCCCTCTCTTGGGCATAGGGATTTTTGGGCTGGAGGTAGACAGCAATGACTGAGCTGTAGAAGAGGGTGACCACAGTGAGATGGGAGGAGCAGGTCCCAAAAGCTTTCCTCCGCCCTTTTGCAGAGTTAATCCTCAGCACTGCCCAGGTAATGGCTCCGTAAGAGACAAGGATGAGGCTGAGAGGCACAACCAAGATGAAGACACTGGCAACAGCCACCTGGATCTCATTGTAGGAGGTGTCTTCACAGGAGAGTCGAATTAGAGCTGGGACCTCACAGACAAAATCATCCACCTGCCGATCGGGGCAGAAGGGCAGGTGCAGGGTGGATGGTGTCTGGACCACTGACTCCACTAGCCCAATGACCCAGGCCACAGATGCCAGCTGCCAGCACAGGCGGGGGTGGATGATGGTGGCATAGTGGAGGGGCTGGCAGACAGCCACGTAGCGATCAAAAGCCATCACTGTCAAGAGGATGCACTCAGTTGTCCCCAGGGACAGGAAGATGAAGATCTGGACAGAGCAGTCCAGGAAGCTGATGGTCTTCTTTGGGCCCCAGAGGTTGACCAGCATTTGGGGAACACAACTCGTGGTGAAACAGAGGTCCAAGAAGGAGAGGTTGGAGAGGAAAAAGTACATTGGAGAGTGGAGCTTGGGGTCCAGCGCAGACAGCAGGATGATGAGTGTGTTGCCCACTAGGGTTAGGAGGTAGGAAGTGAGGACAACCACGAAGAGAGTCCTTTCCAGCCCTGGGTGTTCAGAGAAGCCCAGAAGGAGGAAGCCCGGTGTGGAGCTTTGGTTAACCATGGCCTGTTCTTGTTTGTACCTGGAGGGATGAGGCTGTCACCCCAGTGTGATTCAACCTGTCTTATCAAAACTCAGCCTGGGTGTTTGTGAGGTCACAGCAGGTAGGTGTTTCTCTTCTGTCTCTGCTCGCCCAGCCTCCCTTTCCAAGGCTCATCACCATCCAGCAGCTCCTTCTCATTCCCTGTTCTTCCTGGTCAAACATTGTCTAGTGAGAGTGAGGAATCCATGAATGTACTGGACAGCAGATGGATACTCACACTGGTGCCTCTGACTTCCTGGGTGAGGGCAAAGGAGGCTGATTAAAATATGCACTAATTCATTAATTCATTCATTCAGGGGAAATTTATTGAGTGCCACTATGTTCTGAATGCTGTTCTAGAGTTGTCTCTTATCTATTGGATGATCTCGTAAGGTATATTGAATGAATTTTCTGATAAGTTGTCTCTGTAGGCTCAATTATTGCTCTATTGGTTGAATGAATTTTATAGAACTCTGTACATTCCATTTATTTTGTATTTTTTCATTTGCAAGTAAGCTTATCAGAGACAGTGTTTTATCTATGAGAGAGATTTTGTTTTGTTTTAAGATATCCCTACTTATAGAGAGATCAGGTTGGTTGCCCTGGCCTTTTTAGCAACCTAAGTTTCTGAACCAACTGACTTTCAGGGAGGGGTGGAAATTGGTCCACATGCTTCGTCCTTGCCATGAGTAGCTTACAAGTAGGAGGCAAGAGTGGCCACAAGCATGTTAAAATCACCAGGGTTCACAGGAACATTATCGAAAGACTCCAAGAATCACTCTCCCTAAATCTTGTAGTCTTTCAGACACCACCAAAAAGAGAGTCCAAAATTTAAAGGCCAGTAACACCAATGTACTGGGTGAATGAGAGTAAAGGTTCTGTAGGATGACTGACCAATTTGGTTGGGTATATCAGGGAAAGCTTCCTAGAGGAGGTGACTGGACTTTTTCCTTAAAATAGAGATGTATTGGGGCATAGAAGGTCAGTTGAGGGCTGGGGGTGGGAGACTGAAGCCACTCTGGCAGGTCAGAGACAAGGACTCAGGGTCTTACAGGACCTTAGGAAGGCCATGAGGGGAGGAGATGAGATGGTGGGCCACACCACAAACGTGCCATGGAGCTCAGAGGATGGCAGGAATGTCTTCCTCTTACAGGGTCCCCATCTTGTATTAAGCTCTATCACATCTCCCTTTTTGCCAGGACTCTCTGCCATTGTCTCTGTCTTCTTCCTGTTTTTCCCATTATTCTTTTCTCACTTAAAATATATTTTTAATTTTCAAAATATTGTTACATATTTAAACAACTAGGTTAAGGAACTGAGCAAATGTTTCAAGTATCTTAGAAGCTTCTGTGTGCCCCTCCCTGATCTCTCAATTTTCTCAATTTGTCACCCCTCAAGATGTCACCACCATTCTAATTTTTTTTTTTTTTTTTTTTTTTTAGAGTCACGTTTTATAGCCCAGGCTGGAGTGCAATGGCACGATCTCTGCTCACTGCAACTTCCACCTCCTGGGCTCAAGCTATTCTCCTGCCTCAGCCTCCCAAGTAGCGGGGATTACAGGCACTCAAGACCATGCCTAGCTAATTTTTGTATTTTTAGTAGAGACGGGGTTTCGCCATGTTGGCCAGGCTGGTCTCAGACTCCTGACCTCAGGTGATCTGCCTGCCTCGGCCTCCCAAAGTGCTGGGATTACAGGCATGAGTCACTGTGCCTGGCCTCTAAATTTTTAATTATGCCTTCGCTTTCATTTTTTGAGATGTATTTAACGTACCATAAAATTCGCCCTTTTGAAGTGTGTAATTTAGTGGTTTAAAGTATATTCACAAGTTGTGCAACCAACACCATTTACTTCCAGAATATTTCATTACTCCCAAAAGAAACCTCATGCTCATTGGCTGCCGCCCCCTCCTTTGTTTTCTTTGTAATATAAAATTCTTTGCATGTAACCTTAAACAATAGCCAATTGTTTCTTATTTATCCATCATGTGTCATCCTAATTAATTTTCTACATTTCTAACTTTGTCATTATCTTGGCATTTCATTCCTTTCCTTTCTCTGCTATATCGCTGAATCTCTTTAGATTACACCTTTCTTAGTGACTGTTTCCCTTTCCCTCTTTGTTCTCTGTCTTTTCCACTCTCATTATTTTTCTCCTACTCCTTTTCCTTCTGAAATATTCATGCATTGGTCTACGCATTTATTCATTTCTTGAGCCCCAAAGTGCCAGCATTGTGTTAGGAGCTGGGGAAGGAGTTGGGAGGTCCTTTGAAAGGGGTTTATGATAGTCTAGTGACCATGAGCTACCCTTGCTGTTAGTAGCTACCATCAAAGCATGGTGATAAACAACTCCCTGAACATCTGGTTCTCACAGTGACCCTACAAAGAGATAAAATTATCCCAATTTTACCAAAAAGTGAACAGTCACAGACGGGACAAGAGACTTGTAGAAGGTTACCTAGTCAATAAGTGCTAGGACTAGGATTTTAGAGTAAGTTTAACTCCAAATCTGGTCCTCCAGTGTTGAGGATAGGCGGAAACTGATATCTCACAGCCAAAGAGCAAAGGTTCTGCTTACCTTCAATCAAATAAAAATCTCTTCTGGTACCAGCAATTCCCCATGACAGAGCTCTTAACTGGTGCCCAGCCTCCACTTGTACATCAGGAAGAAACAAAAAAATAAAAAGGAATGGGCATCCTTGAATGGGCAACTGCATCTCTGGTCACAATAGGGATTGCTAATGCTGACCATCTGGCACTTTTCTAAGCACACATGTGTGTGATGAGCTGGAGCTGGCTCAGATTATCTCTTGATTAGTAAATTTTTAGGAATTTTGTGAGACAGTTATTAAACCATCAGTGGCTTGAGACAGCCATGGCAGGAATATTTACACTATGAAAATTGGCAAACACTACAAATTAGGGCTCTCCCCATCTGCCACCAACCAAGTTGTTTATTAAACATTTACTCTACACTGCTGATTATCCTTCACAACTCTACATATTATTCTCTTCCTTCCAATATGAAGAAGTTGAAACAAAGAAATATAAATAACTTTCCCAAGGCAGTATAGTTAGTAAGCACCAGAGCTGATGTTTGAACCCAAATCTGCTAACTGTAGAGGGTTTGCACCAACCAAAGCCCACCAAATCTCTGCAGGGAGGATGAAGCCAAGGTCAGAACTTTGCCATTGAGTTCTTTGCCATCGAGTTCTTTGCCATCGAGTTCTTTGCCATTGAGTTCTTTGCCAACAATTTTCCCCCTCAGTCTAGGCAGAGGTGTGCCTCTGTTTTAGTGGCATTGGAGGTAGAAATGTTGACATGGTATGGTGGTAGAGGGATCCCACGGAGGGAAAGAGCTCATTAATTCTGCTGAGACTCTAGGGTCCATAGCCCACAGACAATTCATTAGCCACAAATTATGGTAAAAGGGGCAGGGGAATATCTATAGGAAATATGCCAACAATAGTCATCACTGTGGTAGGTAAAAGAGGTCACTCATTGCTTCTTTCTGTCAACAGGAAGAAAAAGGACAGTGTCTCTACTCCCACCTCCAGTGAGTCCCGGGCATCCTGATAGTCCTCTCAGGCTTATGATTCATCTATTCAGGACCTCAGTTTTTAAAGTTCTCAGCTTCCTCCTTTTCTATTTAGTTATTCTGAGATGGAGCACACTGTAGTAACAGAGAATTATAAAGCTCTGGGTTTGGAGAGTACTTAGAACATTTAGCCAATCTTCATATAACTGAATCGTTATGCTTCTCTTCCATTAGAAAGGGAGCCTATGAGATCAGCTAATAAATGGCATGTACTAGGTCCATGGATCTACCCAGTAGTCATTTCTGCAGTCTCTAAATCTGTAACTGGAATGCACATGCTTGGCCATTGGCAGAATCCCCACATAGTTCTTTAGTCTGTGGAGTACGAGCTACAGATTGAAGTGGAAGCCCTGAATCTACACCTCTTACCGCAAAGACAGTGAATCAAGAACAATATCACAATTCAAGGGAAATGGCTGATTGAGGCCACCTTTAAAGGGTGCGGGGGTTTGTTTCTATCATATTTCACATTTAATTCACCAGTCTGGTCACTACAAATATCAGATGCAACTTGAAAGATGACCAGACTAGCACAAACTCAACCAAGAAATAGCTGTAATTACAGCTGTTGTGCCTGATTAGCACGGTTTCAGGTCCATGTTATATGGCTATTAATCTGGTGAATAATGTGTTCTTTTCTTTTCTTTTTGAGATGGAATCTCACTGTTGCCCAGGCTGGAGTGCAATGGCATGATCTTGGCTCACTGCAACCTCCCCCTCCCGGGTTCGAGCGATTCTCCTGCCTCAGCCTCCTGAGTAGCTGGGACTACAGGCAAATGCCACCACGCCTGGCTAATTTTTGTATTTTTAGTAGAGACAGGGTTTCACCATATTGATCAGACTGGTCTTTAACTCCTGACCTCGTGATCTGCCTGCCTCAGCCTCCCAAAATGCTGGGATTACAGACGTGAGCCACCGTGCCTGGCTGAATGTGTTCTTTTCAAATACTATCAGGAAGAAAGACCAAAGGCAGTTTGAATTTACAGGTATGGATATAAGTGTACATTTACATTTACATTTTTGCTTCAGTACCATGTTAAAACTCTCCCGTCATAATAGGGTCCAATGGGACATGGATGTGCTGCAAGTCCAGGCAAAAAAGCCTTGATTTACATCATTTGCTGATTTCTGCAGTGTAAATATTCTCACCATGGCCAATTTTAAACTGTCAATGTGAGATTACTGAAAATGCAGAGTTGTAGAGAAATGTATGGTAACACACCATTACACAGAATAATTTATAATACAGAGGGTTTTTTTTTGTTTGTTTGTTTTTGAGGAATAAACAAACAGTCTTTATTAGGCTCAGACCAGAAGTCCATGGATCTTGAGGAGACCTGTGTGTATTTGTCAGTTTTCTTTTTCATGTTCTTTTCCACCTATTTCTGTAGCCTCATAAGCTGTTTCTTCTTCTGGTAGTGGATCTTGGCCTTCTCCTTCCTCTTCTTCAGGGTGGCTGTCACTGCCTGGTACTTCCAGCTAACTTCATAAGCTCGGTGTCCAGGCGGACAAATTTTCTTGTAGGCTTCAGACACACAAGCTTGAGGGCAGCAGGAACCACCAAAGCTTTTTCTTGTCATGGGGCGGTGGAATGCCGTCAGACACCTTGAGGTGGTTGAGGGCGGCCTGGCCTTGGTGAGTCTTGTGGGGCAGTGGGCCTTGCACCATCCACCAGAAGATGCGGCTAGGGCCGAGAAATGGCAGGGCCTCCAGAAGGTGTTCATCCGCTTGCGGAGAAAGCCCAGGTACTTCAACTTGTTTCTGTAGAACTTGCCAGAAATGTTGATGCTCTCGCATTGTACGACCACCACCTTCTGGCCTAGAGGGAAGGAAAGGGTTGGGAAGTGCTGAGGGTGCCATCTGAAGGCTCTCCCTCTACCTGTGACTGCACACAGACAGTGATGGGCACAGCAGAGTTCATGTTTAAATTAAAAGATAGCCTAATGGAAAATCACTTCTGAACCAGGAGGACCGCACCCCAGGAATGGGAGTGGCTGGCAGGTCTCAGAGCAGTGCATGGGGTTGGTCTCATGGCCATGAGACTCAAACGAAAGATGGTGATTGTTGCTCATCACCAATCCAGAATATTTTTATTATACAGACAACATTATTTAGTATCTTTATTATATAGACATAACAGATATAAATAACCAGAAGAGTATGGAAAATATGATAAGATAGTTAAATACCTAGAAAATGAAGAGCTTAGGGATTTGTTACCTATGCCTTAAAATAACTTATTTTAAAATAATAGTCATGTTTAACAACTGGTTTGCACAATTTCTGAAAATTTAACAGTTGGCTCCATGAGGCAGTATGAGCTAGCTGCATGCAGCACACCACTGGACGTGGACCTTCTGGACATTCCACAAAACATGACATCGTTCCACTGTATCAACAATATCTTATTAACCAAACAGAATGAGCCATGAGGGCAAGCATATTGGCGGCACTGGTAAGACAAATGCACTCCAGAGAGTGGGAAATACACCCTGTGAAGATTCAGCATCCTCCACATCTTTGAAGTTTTTAGACTTTGTGCCAGGACATCCCTCTAAAGTAAGAACACATTATTGCATTTCACACTTAACACCAGTAATGCAGAATTGGAAAGAGATGCACAGTAACACACTATTACACAGAAGAATTTATAATACAGAGGTGTTTTTTGGAATAAACAGTCTTTATTAGGCTCAGACCAGGAGTCCATAGGTCTTGAGGAGAACTGTGTGTATTTGTCAGTTTTCTTCTCCACGTTCTTTTCTGCCTGTTTCTGTAGCCTCATAGGCTGTTTTCTTCTTCCAGCAGTGAATCTTGGTCTTCTCCTTCCTCTTCTCCAGGGTAGAGAATGCTTGGTTGTCCTATTTAGGATCTAGAGGAAACATATTCCACACTCATGGGAATACCACATGGAACAGTTTACTAGCGACTGACTGAAGCCCAGAGCAGACCTGGGGTCCGCAGCTGTTCTAAGCTGTCATATCAGCCGTGTGGTAGTGCTTTGGTCATGTGACTCAATAGACTCTGGGGCACTAAAGGTATCAGTGGTGGGAAAAGATACAGTGTGGCATTTTGGGCAAGCCTTGAAAGGAAAATCACAACATAGATCCCTGGGGTTCTTCATCAAATCTATGCTGTCTGCTGCAGGAAAGTAAACCCCATTAGGAAACAAGTCCTAGCTTGCTCTTGGGCCTTACTAGAGACAGAGCTCCTGATCATGAGACATCAAATGGCTATTAGGCTACAACTGTCCATCATGAGCTGGGTCCTGTCAAATCAATCAAGTGATGAGGTCTAGTGGTTGCAACATCATCAGTTGTAAGAGAGAAGTCGTATATCCTGCATCAGTCATGGGCAGAACTGGAGGGTAAATGCAAGGTGCTGAAGTGGGGGGCCCAGATTCCCATGTCCTCCACGCTGTGGCCTTGGTACTTCCCAACTTGCTCATACCAGTGGCTCATGGGAGTGTTCTAGTTATTTATTGCTGCATAACAAAGTCTCCCCAAATTTAATGGCTTAAATGAACACAAACCTTATTGTATCTCACATGTTGTGGGCCAAGAATTTGGAACGAAATTGGCTGGGTTTCCTTATATTCCATGTTGCATCAGCTGGGATCCCTTGGAAGTATTCAGCTGGCAGATGGACTGCTCTAGAGGGTCCGAGACAGCTTCACTCACATGCCTGGCACCTTGGTGGGTTCACTGTAAGTTTGGGCTCATTTTCTCTGTCTTCATGCTATCTCAGGGCCTTTCTACATGGTCTGCCCAGCATGATAGACTTTTTACTTGGAAATTCGGGACTCCAGGATAGCAAGGAGGAACAGCCAGTTCTCTTACAGGCTGGCCCCAGAGCTGGCATGGTGTCACTTCTGCCACGCTGTTTTTGTCAAAACAGTCATAGACTAGCACAGATTCAAGGGGAGGGGAAATAGATAGCCCTCCTGATGGGATGATTGTCCGATAGTTTGCAGCCATCTTTAATCTGTCATGGGGGGGGAGGGGTACTTTATGATTGGCTAATGGAGGAAAAATAAGATGACCTTGGTTCATGGATGTATCTGCTCAACACATTGGTGTGAGCTGAAAATGGACTGCTGCTGCATTATAGCCACACTCAAGAGTAGTTCTGGAAGACAGTAGAAATTGTAAATCTTCCCAATGGGCAAAGCTTTGAGTAGTGCACCTGATTATCTATTTTGTGTAGAAAGAATAATGGCCTAATGGAAGAATATTTGTGAATACATGGGCAGTGGCAAATGGCTTGGTTGGTTGGTCAAGTGCTTGGAAGGAGGAGGTTTAGAAGATGAAGAACAATGAAATTTGAGGAAGAGGCACTTGGATAGGTTTATGAAAATGGGAAATCTTTTTATTTATGAAATTGGGAAAATTGTGAATATCTTTGTGTTACATGCTAATGCCCACTAGAAAGCATCCACAATAGAAGAGGCTCTAAACCTCTTCTAAACCAAGTAAACAGTGACTATAGGCCAGTTCACACTAAGCAGTCTTCTCCACAGGCCACCCTAGTGCTGGTAAAAATGGA
This sequence comes from Homo sapiens, assembly GCF_000001405.40. NCBI lineage: Eukaryota > Metazoa > Chordata > Mammalia > Primates > Hominidae > Homo > Homo sapiens. The sequence continues at coordinate 845,334 of NT_167245.2, read as the reverse complement.
CTTATGAAGGCAGTAACTATGGTGGCAGGATGCAGGTCTGTATGTGTTCAACAGCATGGCTTTCACTCACCAACACTGATCTAACTCCTGCAGCTACTGAACGTCCGGCCTGCCAGAAACATGCAAATGCTGCCCTTGATATGGCACTATATCCTGGGCATGAGTTTGCAGGTCCAGGATTCAAATTGGATGCTGCGCAATGCGAAAGGGCTCTGTGTATTTGTAGAAAACCCCCAAACTGACCATTTTCTCCTACTATATTCTCAACATTCAACACTTCTAGTCACCAAAACATGTTCGTTTTTATTTTATTTTATTTTGTTTTGTTTTATTTTATTATTTTTTGAGATGGAAGTCTTGCTCTGTTGCCCAGGTTGGAGTGCAGTAGCGCGATCTCGGCTCACTGCAAGCTCTGCCTCCTGGGTTCATGCCATTCTCCTGCCTCAGCCTCCCGAGTAGCTGGGACTACAGGCATCTGCCACCATGCCTGGCTGATTTTTTGTATTTTTAGTAGAGACGGGGTTTCACCTTGTTAGCCAGGATGGTCTTGATCTCCTGACCTTGTGATCCGCCCGCCTCAGCCTCCCAAAGTGCTGGGATTACAGGGCTGAGCCACCACGCCCGGCCAACATGTTGGTTTTTCTTCCAGACTGACCAATACATTCTTCAGTGGACACCAACTTGGTGTCCTATAATTCAATTCAATTCACTTCTGACATTATTCACCTGGAGATACAGTGAGATCCCACAGGTTAAAGGATCCCATAAGGCTGCTCCCCACTTCAGATGCCAATCACAAGTCCAAGCTTCTGGAACTTCTGACCTACTGGGAACCCTACTGGGGGTTCCCACAATCCCCTCCTTGGGTTTGATGATTTATTAGAGCAGTTCACAGAATACATGAAAGCTCTTTAGTTCAATTTACCAGTTTATTATAGAGGATATTCCAAAGGATACAAATGAACAACAAAATAGAAGAGATGTACAGGAAAAGGTGTGTGGGAAGGGTTACAGAGCTTCTGGGGCATGCTGCCCTCTCAGCATTTCTGTGTGTGCACCAGCCTGGAAGTTCTCGGAGCTCTGTAGTTCAGGGATTTTTGTGGAGGCTTCATCAAATAGATATAGTTGATTATTAACTCAATGTCTAGCCACTCTCGATTTTCTGGAAGATGAGGGTAGAGCTGAAAGTTTCAAACTTCTAATCATGGCTTGGTCCTTCTAGTCAGAGTCCCCATTCAGGGGTCCCCCAAGGGGTCACCTCATTAGAACAAAAGATGCTCCTGTTACCCAGGAAATTCCAAGGGATTAGAGCTCAATGTTAGGAACTGACATATTTGGTCAAAGACCAAATATTAGAACAAAAGACTCTCCTAGCACCCCTATTGCTCAGGGAATTACAAGGGCCTTAGGAACTCTGTGCCAGGAACTGGGATCAAAGGCCAAATATGTATATCTTATTATATCACAATATTACAGCCTCTTGGCCACCGCATTATTCTGCAGCCCATGACTGCAATAGCTTTTTGGATTATATTCAGATGCTTTTCACATGTGGCGATAGACTCAAGTACCATACTCAGTGATGACCTCAGAATTACATGTCATTTTGCTATGAGTCTCTCCCAAGTTTAGCTTTTTGAAAAATCTTTTGGTTTCATATTATATTATGGGATATATTAGCAATCTCTGATAGTTTTGTGGCATATTAAATATTCATGGATGAAGCAGCTTTGGGAGTCGATAATGGATAGGGTGTTTATAACTAACCTAATTTAAATTTTATTCTAGTTACTACATTACTATGGCTATTTTGCCTGGCAATTAATGAAGAGCACTGGAACTGATTCTTACTGGGGCATAAACTTGTAGCCACTTCTGCCTTGAACCTATTAACTGCTTAAAATTTACACACACACACACACATACACACAATTTATTTTGAATATGTAAAGCACACACAGCTGTAACATTTAAAAGACAGGCAAAAATATAAAGTGAAAAGCAGATTTCTCTTCCATGTCTGCTCTTCTTCAAGTTACTGCTGTCGATGATGTCATAGGGCTCACTAGCTCCAGAAACAGCTTCTTCTGCAGGAACCTGGGAGGCTTCCAAGACACAAAGGGATTTTACTTCCTGCTGAACGACGTTGGTGATGGCTTTCTTGACTCCTCTAGACCTTGCGACCGCCGGATCCCAGTTGGCGTAATCTGCCACAGTCTTTGGAAGGAGCAGGCATCATGGGCCCAGAGCTTGAGCCGATTTCTTCTCCTCGACACGGCGCTCTTGTCTAGGGGAGGCTGGCACAGAGGTCTGCAACCATGGGCCAGCTCCGCCCTGCTCTGCTGTTAGCCCACGCTGGAGGCCAATGCTTTCGTGAGGACGCAGGCCCTAGGATTTCTTTCTGTAAATATAGTCTATCCTCCATTCCCACAGGTTCTGCATCCACAAGCAAACATGAATTGAAAATACAATATTCTCAGGATGCTAAACTCATGGATGTGAGAACCGACTTTTTGTATTTGTGAGTTCTGCAAGGTCAACTTTGGGACTTCAGCATCTGCAGATTTTGGTATCTGAGGGGTGTCCTGGAACTAATTCCCTGGGGATACTGAGGGTTGACTGTAATAAATATTCATTACATACCTACTGTGCCAGATACTATGCCAGGCACTAAGAGTATAAGGATAAGTGAGCCAAAACCCTGACCCTCACTTTCCTTACTGTGTACTTTGAGAGGCAGACAATTAAAAAGATCCTGTTACTTCATGGGAAGTGCTTTTTGTTGGTGGTAGAGAGGAGCTGGAGGGGAGAGTCTTCCAAAGAGAGGGAGGAGCACGTTCAAAGGCTAAAGGTGGCAGAGAGCCTGGTGTGGTTCATACACTTGCACTTGCAGGTAGTTGTGTGAACTTGCAGGATTCTAGGTGGTTGAGCCTTAGGAGGTGGGGATGGTAAAGTCTGGAAAACAGGAACCCGATCTAGGAGTTTGGGCTCCACATTTTATTGCAGGGGGATTCTATATATTATTTTTGGCTAAGGGAGTAACATATTCAAATTTGTATTTTGGAATGATTACTCTGGTTCAACATGGATAATCAATTTCAATCGGTCAAGACTGGAGGCAAAGAGCCAGTTAGTAGTCATTCATATCATCCACCAAATATTTCTGGTTCCCTTTCCTGCCACATGATTGGTTTATTTCCCCTCACCTTGAAGTTATATGTAGCCATGAGATTTGCTTTGGCAAATGACCAATGAGTCAAAGTGTTATGCCACTTCCGATTGGAAACTAAGTGCTAGTTTGCCATTTGTCATGCTTATTATTTCCTCCTTTCCCAGCACCTAGGAGTGTTTGAGATGGTGGGTGTTCTGTCAGTCCACATCTTTGGGTGAAGATGACAAGGCAGAACCTCTGGTTGGATGACAATGGGCATGCAGCAGCAGCAAGAAATAAACCTATGCTGTTTCAAGTCACTGAGGATTGGTATTGTTATCACAGCATAACCTCTTTCCTGACAGGAAAGAGGAGAGAATGGTTCAGTTCTAAACAGATTTTTCCATCACACTCTCCATTCCATTCATGTGAGGCTTTGAGAATGTAATGAATGTAGATCAACTTGAAAAAGGAAATAAGATTTCATAGAAGTTGGGGCTTACACTGCTGCTCCCTTTTTTCTGAGGCCCTTGCTCCATCCAGGCTCCATTGCAGCACTTTATTACTTACAATTGGATTTCATGTTTGTGCCTGGCTAGTAGAGGTTGGTCAGAATTTCAGAACTGCACTAGAAAATGGATGCAGGACAGCTGTTAGCACTGTGTAGCCACTGAAGAGCAGACTCACAACTCCTCATGGTCACTGTCATGCAGAGGTTGAGAAGAGGTAAAGGAAAATCATCTCCAGGAATGGGAGCACATTTTCAGGATTTGGCAGGAGATTAGTGTTGTGATCCCTGGAAAGCTGGATGATCAGAAAACTTACTAGGACTGGAAAAATAGAGTTTTCTGCCTGATAACCCATTTGGGTATAAATCCTAATGATGTTGGTATATTTATAATGGTGTAAAACCAACAGCATGCACTTGGTAAGTTAACAGATATGCATCTCAATTTAGGTCTAACAAATTGCTGTGTGTTCTTGGGTGAAATTACTAAATTCTCTGAGTGTCAGCTTCCTGTCAGTCCACCTCAAGCAAGTGGAGATGAACCATCCTGATGACAAAGGAAAGAAGACATTGTCAGAATCAGAAGTGGCTGGGTGATGTGGCTCACTCCTATAATCCCAGCACTTTGGGAGGCCGAGGCGGGTGGATCACCTGAGGTCAGGAGTTCGAGACCAGCCTGGCCAACATGGTGAAACCCCGTCTCTACTAAAAATAAAAAATTAGCTGGGCATGGTGGCATGTGCCTGTAGTCCCAGCTACTCAGGAAGCTGGGGCAGAAGAATCACTTGAACCCAGGAGGCGGAGGTTGCAGGGAGCCAAGATCGCACCACTGCACTCCAGCCTGGGCGACAGAGTGAGACTCCATCTCAAAAAAAAAAAAAAAAAAAAAAAAGAATCACAAGTGATGGTAAAATGATGATGATAATGTAACAATCGGAGAGGGGTTACATAACCAGAAATAGGCATGGTGCATTTGGAGAACCTGTAGGGGAGAAGAGAGTTAAAAACCAAATTGAAAAGAAAATAAAAATATAGAAATTAAATATTAAAAATGGGCAGGTATGATAATCTTTTTGAGCTTTAGATGTTAATTAAAGATACCTACCTCCTCTTACCTGACTCTTAGTCTTTCTCTGTCTCTTTCTCTCTCTCACACACACTCATATACTGTGACCCATTGTAAACACTGTGATGGGTGTATGAAAGGTAGTATACTTGGGAGCTCAAACTTGTTCACAAAAGGATAAATAATTTCTTCTTAATTTAGAAAGCACATTAAACAGCTCTCCCTCAACTTTGTATGAGCCCCATTTCCTTCGCCAGCAATCTCCTGAATGCCCTGGTTACCTCCTTGTTCCTCAGGGTGTATATGAGAGGGTTAAGTGAAGGAGTGCCCACTGCATAGAAGAGACCAAAGAACTTGCCCCTCTCTTGGGCATAGGGATTTTTGGGCTGGAGGTAGACAGCAATGACTGAGCTGTAGAAGAGGGTGACCACAGTGAGATGGGAGGAGCAGGTCCCAAAAGCTTTCCTCTGCCCTTTTGCAGTTAGTCCTTAGCACTGCCCAGGCAATGGCTCCATAAGAGACAAGGATGAGGCTGAGGCACAGCCAAGATGAAGACACTGGCAACAGCCATCTGGATCTCATTGTAGGAGGTGTCTTCACAGGAGAGTCGAATTAGAGCTGGGACCTCACAGACAAAATCATCCACCTGCTGATGGGGGCAGAAAGGCAGGCGCAGGGTGGATGGTGTCTGGACCACTGACTCTACCAGCCCAATGACCCAGGCCACAGATGCCAGCTGCCAGCACAGGCAGAGGTGGACGATGGTGGCATGGCGCAGGGGCTTGAAGATAGCCATGTAGCGGTCAAAGGCCATCACCGTCAGGAGGATGCACTCAGTGGTCCCCAGGGACAGGAAGATGAAGAACTGGACAGAGCAGCCCAGTAAGATGATGGTCTTCTTTGGCTCCCAGAGGTTGACCAGCATCCCGGGGACACAACTTATGGTGAAACAGAGGTCCAAGAAGGAGAGGTTGGAGAGGAAAAAGTACATTGGAGAGTGGAGCCTGGGGTCCAGCACAGACAGCAGGATGATGAGTCCACCGGGGTTAGGAGGTAGGAAGTGAAGACAACTACAAAGAGAGTCCTTTCCAGTGCTGGGTGTTCAGAGAAGCCCAGAAGGAGAAAGCCTGGTGCGGAGCTTTGGTTAACCATGGCCTGTTCCTCTCTGTATCTGGAAGGATGAGGCTGTCACCCCAGTGTGATTCAACCTGTCTTATTAAAACTCAGCCTGGGTGTTTGTGAGGTCCCAGTAGGTGAGTGTTTCTCTTTTGTCTCTGCTCGCCCAGCGTTCCTTTCCCAGTCTCATCACCATCAAGCAGCTCCTTCTCATCCCCTGTTCCTTCTGATCAAACATTGTCTAGTGGGAGTGAGGAAACCATTAATGTGCTCAACAACGGATTGAGCCTCACACTGGTGCCTCTGACTTCCTGGTTGAATGCAAAACGTCTGATGTGAAGCATAGATCAGCTAACTAGTTAGTTTTTATTAATTTTGCAAAAATTTATTAAGTACCTATTATGTTCTGATCGCTATGCTACTACTGAATTTTCCCTTTGTTATGTGTGGAAGGAAATACAAAGAAATGTGTGTTCAGTGAGTTTCCTAATTGTAAACATTACTAGAGAATTCATCATGTTTTCTAGTGGTGGGCATAAATTTTCTCAAATCATTCACATTCTATCTACTTTACACTTTTGCAAGAGATTTGACCAGTGATAGAAATGTGGACTGTGGAGATTTCTTCTGTATGTGAAATGACTCAACTGCTAGAAAGATCAGTCAGGTGATTTAGGTCTTTCAAAAAAAATTATGACTTATTAAACTAAGAACAAACATTTCTCCTGCAAATGAAATGTCCTGCCTAAATTTTCCATTATGTGTAATATGTAAAAATAAGAAAAAATATAATGTCAGTCAGAAAGATTATTTTCTGGTTCTGTAACTGCAAAAAAATCCTGAAGAATTGATGTTTGGTGTTAGAAAGCTGAAATAGATTTCAATATCCTCTCCTTTTCATGTAAGATAAAATATAGTAGTAAAAACATACCATGTTGAGTTTGGGACATGTAAGTAGAATTTTGCTTTTGAAAATGCTCGGTTAATTTTATTCACATGCAATTAAAAACCTTTGATTTTGAAATAAGTTGAAACTTACAGAAAAGTTGCAAGTGTAGTTCCAAGAACTTCTATATAACCTTTATCAAATTCATCAATTTTTAGTATTTTTACTCATTTTCACTATCATTATACTCAATATGTTTATGTATTTTCATTTTTACTCTGAGTCACTTGGGAATAACTTGTGGACATCATGCCTCTTTCTCCTTATTGTCTTAGTATTCATATTCTACAACAAGATGATCTTAATTAACACTGTACAGCAATTAAATTCAATAAACTTAAAATTGATACAGTATTGTTATGTAACACACAGTCCATATTCTTATTTTCTCTATGTCCCAATAATGTTCTTTGTAGGATTTTTTTTTTTCCACGTAGGATCCAGTTGAGAGTCACATATTGTACTTAGATGTCAGGTCTGACTTTATCCTCTTTAGTAGCCTATCCTAAGTCACTGAAGTAAGGAGTCTACTTCAAATTATTGAACAATGTGGTCATTCAAGGCGGAGGAGCTTATGGGCTGGAAGAAAGAGTAGTCTCATGGCTTTGAAAAACCCTGGGTAGTACATTCAACATCAGCAGAAAACTTGAAACATTGCAGGCAAATAAGGCAAAAATATTGGGGTAGGGGGCTAGAGGTGAGAGATAGATCTGTAAAGAAAATGAGTAGGGTGGTTGAGTGAATCAGGGAATGCTTCCTGGAGGAGGGGACTGTGTTTTTGAGAAGGTGAAGAGAGTTTCAGCACACAGGGCCAACTCAGATATGGGTGGACGGTGGCAGCCACTCTGGCAGTTGAGAGGCAGGAACTGGGCAAGTTGATGGGGAGGTGGCTGGAGAGGCTATAGGTTGGCAGCATCTACCCATTGCAGTGTCTCTTTTTTGTGTGTTTAAAAGCCCCATCTCATCTTTTTATTTGTTCAACCTGTTTATATTTGTCTCTTTTTTCGTTTCCTTCCTCCTATATTCTTTTTACTCTGAGAAAAATTTTTCCTTTAAAATATTGTTGAATATTTTAACAAAAGATTGTTTAAATCTTAAAAGCCTTCTGCGTGCCCTTCCCTAATCATACCTACTACCTACTCCTGAAGACGCAATGACTATTTCAATTATTACTTTTACAAAATCATTCCTATATTGTCTTATAACATTACACCCTTTGTGTTGGTAAAAAATAGCCAACTCCTCCTTATTTATCTGTCAACCATCATTCTAATACACTTTCTGCATCCCTCTCTTACACTCTTATACTCTTGGTAATTCATTGCTTCACTCTATGTCATTTTTCAGTCTCTTCAATTTACATAGTTCTTTGACTCTCTTTCTGTTCTCTCTTGTTCTGTGTTTCACAACGTGTATTTGTTCTCACTCTCTTTCTTCTGGTCTTTTTAATTTTTCTTGGACACCCACAAAAGTCCAGTACAACTTTACTCTCTTCCTATTAATTTCATATTCACGGATGTATTTATTTCTTTATTAATCACCAAAGACCTAGTTGTGTACTAGGTGCTACAAGGGAATGAAATATCAATTCTTTTCTCCAATTCATTAGTGAAAACCACGTTAATACTTTGGCAGCTACCATCTGTTGTGTGCTTCCTATACACCAGGCACCATGCTAAACATTTCCTGAATACCTGGTTCTCATAACTCTTTGAGGTAGTTAATATCATCTTCCTTTTACAGAAGAAGAAATGGTCGCAGAGAGGTTAAGTAGCTTGCCCAAGGTTACATAGCCGATGAAGACCAGGCCTGGAGTCTGAGTCCTGTTTGATTCCAAATCTGGTGCTCCTGGGGTAGCTCTACCATTGACGATATGTGGACATTAATGGACAGTAGGAGAAGAATAAACTTATAACTTTTCCTCAATCATGTCACAATCTCCCCATTGCCTGCTGCCGGAGCTTCTCCCTGACAACGAGCTTCTAGACTGAGTGAGCCTCTAGTTAATCCTCACAATGAAATCTACAAGCAAAGTCAGGAGTGTTGGGCACCTTTGAAAGGGTGGTGGATTAGGGCTCAGGTAGTAATGTTGACTTCTAATGCTGCTGCCACACCTTTCAAAGCACTTCACAACCTCTGTATGACCTGGATAATATTTCTATATTCTATATTTATTTTCAGATGAAGAAACTAAAACATAGGTTAAATAATTAGCTCAGAATTATATAGCCAGAGCTGAGACTTGAACCCAGGTGGGTTGGCTCTAGAGTCAGGCACAAACTATACCCCACCACCATCCTTCTTCTGGACCTGTAAGGCTGAAGGTTGCTCTTTGCCCACAACCTCTCCTCTTCAACCTAGTAAGTTAACCTGTCTTTTAATGGTAGTGGAGATAGAGAAGAAAACGTGGTGAAGTGATGGAGGGAGGGATCCCGGGACTCCCATCCCATGGAGAGAAATGGCTTGTTAATTCTCCCAAGACTCCAGAGCGTCACAGTTCACAGACAATTAATTAGCCACTGGTGCTAATGATGATTAAGAAAGAAGGAGATGATTCAGAGGAAACGTGCCAGCATTGGTGCTCCCTGTGGTAAGTAAAAAGGTCACTTCTGCTCCTCTGTGTCATTGAGGAGCACAAGGTCATGTTTTCTCATTGCCACCTCTCCTGAGTGTGTCCCATTCTTTTCTCTCAAGTCTCATTTGAACCCATGTAAGACTTCGTTATTTCTTGTTTCTTCTCTACTGGTAGACATTTGGATATAATTTACATGCAATAAAATGCACAGATTTGAAATATACGCTTTGATGAATTTTGATGACTTCAATGAAGAAACAGAAGATTTCCATCATCCTACAAACCTTCCACTTGCCTCTTTCCTTGATACTTAGTTTTGCCTCTTCTAGGACTTCATACAAATGGAATAATATATACTCCTTTGAGTAAGAATTATTTCACTAGGAGTAATTATTTTGCAATTTATTCATGTTGTTTCAAGTATCAGTAGCTCATTTCTGCTTTTAAAATCAACTTCAGTCTGGGCATGGTGGCTCACATCTGTAATCCCAGCACTTTAAGAGGCCAAGAGGAATGGATCACCTGAGCCCAGGAGTTCGAGACCAGTCTGGGCAACATAGCAAGACCTTGTCTCTACGAAAAGTACAAAAACTTAGCCGGGTGTGGTGGCCTTCATCTGTAGTCCCAGCTCCTTGGGGGGCTGAGCTGGGAAGATAACCTGCGCCTAGGAGATTGAGGCTGCAGTGAGCTGTGATCATGCCACTGCACTCTAGCCTGGGTGACAGAGTCAGACCTTGTCTCAAAAAAACATAAAATAAAATAAACTTCTTTAAGATAGAATTTACATGTAATAAAATGCACACATTTTAAGTATATTGTTCAATATACTTAGGAGGTCAAGGCTGTAGGGAGCCGTGATTGCACCACTGCACTACTGCACTCCAGCCTGGGTGACAGAGTGAGACCCTGTCTCAAAAAAAAAAAAAAAAAAAAAGCAAGCAAGCAAGCATTCATACATTCATACCACCTGATTTCATTGACATAACTTTCCTACAACAGGAAAAGCAAATCTAGCAAGATAGAAATCAGATGATTGGTTGTCTGGGACAGGGCATAGGATAACTTTCTAGAATAATGAAAATGCATGCTCTATATCTTGAATGGGGTATTGGTTATCCAAGTGTATGCACTTGTCAAAACTTATTGAACAATATACTTAAAATGTGTGCATTTTATTACCCGTAATTTGTACTTCAATGAAATTTACTTTTTTTATGTTTTTTGAGACAAGGTGTTACTTTGTCACCCAGGCTAGAGTGCAGTGGTGTGATCACAGTTCACTGCAGCCTCAACCTCCTGGACTCAACCCCCCAAGTAGCTGGGATTACAGGTGCAGGCCACCACACGCGGCTAAGTTTTGTACTTTTTGTAGAGACAGGGTCTCGCTGTGTTGCCCAGACTGGTCTCGAATTCTTGGGCTCAAGTGATTCACCCACCTTGGACTCCCAAAATGCTAGAATTACAGGCATGAGCCACCATGCCTAGCTTCATGCCTTATTTCTGGCTTCTGTTATCTGGCTTGTTATGGAAATTCATTCATAGTGTTTCATATATTAGTAATTTGCTCCTTTTTATTGCTAATAGTATTTCACTGTATAAATATACCACAGTTTATCCATTCATGCATTGATGGGCATTTGGGTTGTTTCTAGTTTTGGGCTGCTATGAAAGAAGCCACAATTGTTGGGTATGGTGGCTCACACCTGTAATCCCAGAACTTTGGGAGGCCAAGGTGGGAGGATACTTGAGCCCAGGAGTTTGAGACCAGCCTGGGAAACATGATATAACCCTGTCTCTACAAAATAATACAAAATATTGGCCGGGCATCGTGGTGCATCCTGTAGTCTCAGCTACTTGGGGGGCTGAGGTGGGAGGATCACTTGAGCCCAGGAAGTTGAGGCTGCAGTGAGCCATGATCATGCCACTGCACAACAGCCTGGGTCCGAAAAAAAGAAGAAGAAGAAGAAGAAGAAGAAGAAGAAGAAGAAGAAGAAGAAGAAGAAGAAGAAGAAGAAGAGGAAGAGGAAGAGGAAGAGGAAGAGGAAGAAGAAGAAGAAGAAGAAGAAGGAGAGAACAGTTAGTTGTGTTGTATATGGTTCTTCGTTCTTTGTGTGAACACATGTGTTCTTTATTTTGGGTAAATACCTAGAATTGGAATTTCTGAGTCATTTGCTGTCTGTTTATCTTTATAAGAAACTGCTAAACTGCTTTCCAGAGTGATTGTGCCATTTACACTCCCTACAGCGATGAGAGTTCCAGATGTTCCACATCCTTGGTAATACTTGGAATTGTCAGTCTCTTGGTTTTAGGCATTCTATCGGCTGTGAAGTGCTCCCTCAAGTCGTTTCAATTTGCTCTGTGATGGTTAATGGTGTTAAACATCTTATCATGTGCTTTATTGGTCCTTACGTGTCTTTTATTCAAATTATTTTTCATTTTTTTAACTGTGTTGTCTTATTAAAACTGTAGTCATATCTTATAATAATATAAGTAACATAATAAGTATTTATGGTAATACTTTGAGATTATGCAAGTATCTTTTTCTCATTATAGTTTTGCCTACTAATTTTAGCATCCACAAATGAGTTTTGACTGTAACAATTACTATTGGGCTGTTTGCCTAATGATAACTTTCATCATTTCTCCTATGTTTGTTATTTTGAATTTTGTAAGAGCTGTCCCTCTCCTCCTATTCGTTTACTGTTTATTTTCTTTATTCATATCCAGTAATGACTCCTGGATGTTTATTTTATTCTTTCTTCATTATTCTCATTATTTACTTTGCTGTTTACATTTTCCCAGACTTGGCTATGGGGAAATCCTTTAACGTGATTACTGTGAGTTTTTTGATGTGTCCTCATTTTTTTTTTTAATGACTTCTTTAGTTTCTGGCATCATACAGTATTCCAGGGTTATCTTGTATGTTCTCTTTCCTCTGTCTGGGATCAACCATCTCTCCAAGGACTCCTGGTTCTTTTTACCAGAAAGTCGTATACAGCTGACCCTTGAACAATGCGTGGGTTAGAGGTGCTGACCCCCTCATACATTTGGAAATCCATGAATAACTTTTGACTCCCCTAAACCTTAACTACTAATAAACTACTGTTAACCAGAAGCCTTACTGATCATATATACAGTTGACTGACACATATTTTGTATGTTGTATGTATTATATACTGTATTCTTACAATAACATGAGCCAGAGAAAAGAAAATGTTATTAAGAAAATTATAAGGAAGAGAAAATACACTGACAGTACAATACCGTATTTATCAATTATGTAAGTTTGTGTCATCTGTTAAGAGATGAAACATCAGTCAGAAATGGCAGGAAACTGCAGCAGCAGACCTCAATCTATAGCACATATCAAGCAATTCAACTTTTTCCTGTAATGTTATGGCTTTTCTCTGTCTCCAGGGAAAACTTCCAGCATCACTATATGGGTCTCGTGGTGTTATTCAGGCTTTATGGAATTGCACTAAACACAATTAAAAATACACAAGATCCTGGGCGCGGTGGCACACCTGTAATCCCAGCACTTTGGGAGGCCGAGGGGGGTGGATCACTTGAGGTCAGGAGTTCAAGACCAGCCTGGCCGTCTTGAACCAAAGAACGTTTCTACTAAAAATACAAAAATTAGCCAGGCGTGGTGGTGCATGCCTCTAATCCCAGCTACTTGGGAGGCTGAGGCAGGATAATCACTTGAACCCGGGAGGCAGAGGTTGCAGTGAGCTGAGATCGTGCCACTGCACTCCAGCCTGGACGACAGAGCAAAACTCTGTAATAAACAAACAAACAAAACAAAAACAGGACAACCGCAAGAACCGTGAGACATCACTTTTTCCTAAAGAGAAGACGAACTGCTTACGTGGGAATGATTAGTATTACATGACATTTTAATCCCATACTCCCAACACTTGAGCTCACCCAATAGTAACAGGAGGTGGCTACATAATTATTATAGTAAGACAGAATGTACTATGACTAATTTTACGCAGTTATGATTTAATACTGTATTTTATGATTGTTTATAAGTATTTGTGTGTGAGTTTTAATAAATTTTAACTTTTTATAATAGATTTGTGTATATTTTATAGTAAATGATAAAGTATGCTAGTATCTACGTATGTTTTATGCATTTATGATATGTCTAATTGTTTCTTAATTATTTTGATGTTTCTAAGCTATGAAGTTTGCGAGTTTTTTCAAATTGTCACAAAGGTACAAAATTTTCCAGTATATTTACTGAAAAAAATCTACATTCAATGGACCCATGCAGTTCAAACCCTTGTTGTTCAAGGGTCAACGATATTGTATTTTTCAGTTCCAGCATTTCTGTTTGGCTTTTTAAAATGGCAGTTTCTACATCTGTCTCCTAAAATTCATCATTTCTTTACCCATTGTATAAATCTTTCCCTGTGGATTCTTTAAAATACTATAGTGATTTTAAAGTCTCCATCTGATAATTCTAACATTTCGGTGGCGTTTGGGTTTGTTTTTATTGAGGATTTAAAACTGTTTGTCTAATATTTCTGTTTCTTCACATGATTGGTGATTTCCTGTTTTACACTTGATGATGTGAGTAATATGTTACAGAGATTCCGTATTCTATTACCTTTATCTATTTTGTATTCTATTATCTTTCTCTGAAGCGTATTGAATCTTGTTTAATAAGCAGATATATTACCCACTTATCACTTTGAACTTCTGAAAAACTGGCTTTACATTTTGCTGGAATGGATCATTGCAGTTTTTTCTTGGTTCTAGGGTGAACTCCTTAAGCCTTGGTTGTCATTTTGACTTCTAAGATCTGGTCCTTTTGGGGTTTTAGTTAAAGGCACATTATTTTCAGATGTCTGTTAATGGTAGCAGAGCCTAATCCTAAGTGAAATCCGAAATCCCCAGCTGACAAAAGAAAGTACCAAATAACTTGCATGAGAAGTAGGAGGCAGAGCCTGGATTCACTCCAAGATGGCCTGACTGCTACAAAGTGGAAATGCGCCATTGGTCAACACATCATCCTGCACTTATGACTGCATTAGTTATTCCAGTTGCTTTGTCAGGTTGGACAATTTTTGCACATTGACATCAGTCCCATGTACCAGGCTCAGCAATTGTCTCAGAATTACTTTTTTTTTTTCATTAGGTTTGGTCTCTGATTTTAGCTAATTATAAATTTCTTTGCTTTCAGATATATTATGGGCTATATTATCAATGTTTCTAAATTTTGCAGTATGTAAAAGATTAGTGGAAAATAAATTTTGGGGAGTAGGGAAGGCACAGAATCACAATAGTTAACCTACTATAGCCACCAACTTTTCATGGCCCTTTGCCTGTCAACTAGTGATGAGCACTGAAACTGGTTCCCATTGGTGCATAGCTTATAGCCAGCTCCATTCTGAGCTGATGACTACATAAAAAATATACTATCCCTTCCCATACTATCTGCCTATCTGAATGTGTAAAACATGCACAGTTGCAAAACTAAAAAATAGCAACAATAATAAGATAAGACATATAATGAATAGTCCACCTCTCATTCCTGCTCCTCAGGCAACTTGCAGAGTCAGTGTCTCCTCACAGAGATGTTGTATGCACATTTTAGCATATGTGTATATTTTCTTCCTTTCTAAATAACAAAATATTATACATATATTTTGCAACTTGGCTTTTAAATTTAATTCAACTGTATACACCAGCACTTATTTAGTTGTCTATTGATAAGTGTTGTTCCCATTTATTTCAGTTGCAAATAATTATTTCACATGAATATTCTTGTACATGGCTTATTTCACACATATATAAGTGTACTAATAGGGCCAGGCATGGTGGCTCATACCTGTAATGCCAGCACTTTGGGAGGCGGAGGCAGGTGGATCACCTGAGGTCAGGAGTTCGAGACCAGCCTGGCCAGCATGCTGAAACCCCATCTCTACTAAAAATAAAAATAATAAATAAATAAATAAATAAATAAATAATAGCCAGGCATGGTGGCACATGACTGCAATCCCAGCTGCTCAGAAGGCTGAGGGAGGAGAATCGCTTGAACCCAGGAGGCGGAGGTTGCAGTGAGCCGAGATCGCGCCATTGCATTCCAGGCTGGGAGGCAAGAGTGATACTCCTTAAAAAAAAACCAAAAGAGTACTAATAGGATAAGTTCCTAGAAGCAGAATTGCTGAGCTAGAGGATATGAACATGAAAAATTTTAAATTATATTTTTATTATAATCTTTGATACTACAGATAAATAAATGTAACCCATATAGAATAATATAATGTAACACTATAAAACATAATAGTAGCATAATGAACACTCATGGTTTTTACATTTTTATAAGAGCCTTATTGCTTACATATGTAGTTCTAGATACTATATTCAGTTTTGCTTATGTTTAGTTTTCTTTGGAACATTTGTTTTAGATATTATTACTTTACCTTTAATAAAGTGAATATACGGTATGTCTCTCAAGTAATAAATTGCTTTAACAAACATTAAGTTCTCTTGGTTAAACTTCAGATTCTGAATATGGCAAGATGAAATAATATCAGGGCTTCTAATGCCCTCTTACTTCCTGTTGAAAATCTCCTTCAAGTAGCTTATATCAAAATTTAGATTGGGCTTCATTTTTGTTAAAAAGCAGACATATCCTGAATTTCAAGTAGTTCCTCTTTTTCTCTGTCTCACTATGTAGTTTTGCTTGCTTTTGAGATTTATGGAGAGTATCATACTTTATGTAGTCTTACTCATCTTGCTTTTGTTAGATATAGTGAACTCCAAGATTCTCTTCAAAGAATCAGTATGTCAGCATATTCATCTCTCTTATTCTTTGATTCTCCATTTGAAAGTTGAGCTTCCGGGTTCTCTTCACCCTCTTGCCTCTAGTTTCAGTAAACAACTTTCCTGTCAGTTCTAATCAGTGGTTCATATCTGTTCCCCTGGTCACCTGCTCCATCCGGAGTCACCCTCGGCCACCTGCTTTGATTTGAATCATCCTGAGTCACCTGTTCTGTAACCACCCTTCCCACCAAACTACCCACCCTGCCGCTCTGGCTCATACCCCTGCTCTCTTTAAAATAGCCAATCGGAATTAGCTTAGATTGTGTGGTCCAAACCTAGCCAATAGGGGAACGACACAGCAGTAGGGGCTACCTGCCTCAGGAATAAGAACTCCTTCCCCTCCCTTGTCCAGGTATGCTCTTGCCATTACTCCATCCGCGAGTCACACCCTTCTATAGAAGTAAAAATTCCTTGCTGAGAAAATTGAATTTATGTCTGAGTGCTATTTCTTTGCGGCACCGTGGAATAAGCATTTGTTTCTAACACTTTTTTCACTCAATAGGTTCTAGCACATTCATCTGTATCGTTGTTTGCAGGTATGATCCTTCTATTTATGCTGCTTATGATATTCTACAATTTGGTTACCTATTTCCCTAATACTGATAGGCATTTGGTTGTCTTGGTTTGGTATGTCCATGTTAAATTTTGGTAGGTATTTTCAAACTGTTCTTCTTTGAGTGTAGACTTTTTTCCCAATCACCAATAAATGAGAATTCACACTAGCTTTCTGACTGAGTTTGGTTGGCATTTTTGAAGCAATATTCTAGATCTCAAAGCAGTTTAGAAACTCTTTCATGGACGTTATTAAAGAGACTAGAAAGAGACATCTGTTCCAAGTAGGCTTCAAGTAGGCTTCAATGGGGGCAGTGACAGGCCCAAGAGCATCCCGTCAGCCAGGGCCACATTGGGACACTCGTAGATAACCGCCACAATTGTTTTATAACTTGGCAAGATCTTCATACCATCATCTTTTTACTTTTGTTACTGGAAAGGGATCCTGATCCAGCCCCCAAGAGAGCGTTATTGGATCTTGCACAAGAAAGAATTCAGGGTGAATCCATAGAGTAAACTGAAAGCAAGCGTATTAAGAAAGTAAAGGAAAAAAAGAATGGCTACTTTATAGGCAGAGCAGCCCTGAGGGCTGCTGGTTGACTATTTTTATGGTTATTTCTTGATTATATACTAAACAAGGGGTGGCTTATTCACAAGTTTTCCAGGAAAGAAGTGGGAAATTCCTGGAACTGAGGGTTCCTCCTCTTTTTAGACCATATAGAGTAACTTCTGGACATTGCCATGGCATCTGTAAACTGCCATGGCCCTGGTGGGAATATTTTTTAGCATGTTAATGTTTTATTTAGCATATAATGAGCAGTGAGAATGACCAGAAGTCACTTTCGTTGCCATCTTGGTTTTGGTGGGTTTTGGCTGGCTTCTTTACTGCTTCCTTTTATTTGCAAGGTCTTTATAACCTGTACTTTGTGCTGATCTCCTCTCTCATCCTGTGACTTAGAATGCCTAACTTCCTGGGAATGCAGCCTAGTAGATGTCAGCCTTATTTTATCCAGCCCCTATTCAAGATGGAGTTGCTCTGGTTCAAACACCTCTGACACTTTAGTTGGTTTTCTGAATTTGTCAGAGGGGTAAATGATGTAGTTTGGATGTTTGTACTCTCCAGATCTCATGTTGAAATGTGACCCCCAGTGTTGGAAATGGGCCCACTGGGAGATGTTTGGGTTGTGGTGGCAGATCCCTCATGAATGGCCTGGGGCTGTCATCATTGTAATAAATGAGTTCTCACTCCATTAGCTCACAAGAGAGCTGGTTGTTTAAAAGAGCCTGGCATTTTTCCCACTGTCTCTTACCTCCCTCTCTTGCCATGTGACACGCCTGCTCTCCTTCACCTTCCACCATGAGTAAAAGCTTCTTGAGGCCTCACCAGAAGCAGATGCTGGTGCCATACTTCTTGTATAGTTGGAGGAACTATGAATCAATTAAACTTTTTTTCCTTATAAATTACCCAGCCTCAAGTATTCCTTTATAGTATGCAAAAGAGACTAAAACAGCAAATGAAAAGAGATCTGTCTCTGAAAGAACTTATTGTGACATAGAGAGAGACAGAAAAAAGTCAGATTGACACTGGGTAAGAAGCAAGGAGGTCAGGTCCCAAGATGAAGTCCTGCCTGTGGTCAGCAAAGGGGCACCAAGGTGTCTGGGACAGTCCTGGCCCTGGCTTTGGGCAGGGAGGGAATTTCCCATAGGAAGGGAAGAGTAAAGAGAGAGAGAGAGGTCAGAGTCCAGGTTTGTTGTTCATATGTTTTCTTGAAAGGGCACTATTTCCCAGAATCCAGGTCATCTCTGGGTAGGGAATCCCCTGAATTAGTTTTTTCTGAGAGTATATTAGATTTGCCCTCACAGTAACCCCATGCTGGAAATACCCAACTCCAGTAGCACTTTTCTCCCTGCCTTTTCCCACTGAAATAACATAATAATATAGGAAGAATACAAGGACTATAGAAATACAGATTAGTGTTTGAACCCTTGCTTACCAGCTACTACTAATATGATTGTGGATGAGGTAGCTTCTTACTTATTAACGGGGATACTAATAGAGGTGGTTCCTTACAATGATTCCATTTATGATTTTTTATTTAATAGTGATACCAAAGCAATACATACTCAGTAGAAACCTACTTCAAGTTCCCATAAAATCATCTGCTTTTCACTTTCAGTACAGTATTTAATAACTTAAATGAGATATTTCACACTTCAGTAGTAAATACACTTTTTGTTAGATAATTTTGTCCAACTGTATGCTAATGTAAGTGTTCTGAGCATGTTTAAGGCAGGTTAGGTTAAGCTATGATGTTTGGTGGGTTAGGTGTATTAAATGCATTTCTGATTTTGGATATTTTCAGTGTACAATGGGTTTACAGGGATGTAACCCCATCATAAGTGAAGGAGCACCTGTACTTACTTCATTAAAATGCTGAAACAGTAAATAAGGTAACATTTAATAATATGTTGTGCAGTTCTTGAAATTTAAGTACTCACCAAATATTACTTTTCCTTTTTTTGTTATTTACTTACTTTTCATTCATTTATTAATTCATTTGTGCATTTAGTAAACATTTATAAATTATTTCCTGTGCCTGACAGCATGCTGGAACAGTGCTAAAGATACAAGTTAATTAAGACACAATCACGACCCCCAAGATTCCTACTCTTTTCTAAAGATTACAGACAAGCAGACGATGCTATTGTTGAAGAAACATGCTCTGAGAGGCATTTGAAGGAAGTGTAGAGGATAGAAGATGGACACATAACCCAGGATGGGGAGGAAAAGAGTTAGGGAAGGCTTTTTGACGAAGATACTGTTTACACCGTGTGTTCTTATAAATTCATGGTGGTGGGGATAGAGTTGGAGGAAAAGGCATGCTCAGTGGCGTGGAGATGGCAGAGAGATTGGGGTGTTCAAGGATATGCCGGGAATTCAAGGAACGAGAATTCCCATAGACACAGACACAGCTAGACATAGAGATCTGCAGCTTAGGTTTGGGCTGTGGGTATAGATCCAGGTGGCTTCAACAGACAAAGATCTTTCCTGAGAAAAGGGAAAAGTTTTCAACACAGAAAGACCATCCCATGTTTGGAATGAGGTTTGCAAATAGATTGCTTGAGGAGAGAAGTATGTGATCAGAAAGCATTCTTTGTCTATTAACTCCTGCCCAGCAAAAGTGAAAGAAAATTCATGGGAGCATGCAAGAACAAAGAGCACAGCAAAGCTGGACAAACACAGCAATCCAGGCAGGGGATTTCCAACTCAACTCTGGTATATAAGCTGCATGCAAAGTCCTTTTTCTGTCTCTGGTTTCTGGCCCCTTGTCTGCAGAGATGGCTCCCAATGCTTCCTGCCTCTGTGTAAGTTGGGATTTGATAAAGGGGATGGGGAAAGGAAAAGCACTTTCAAGAGTTGGGGAGAGATCTTAGAAACGGGGGCTGGGCAGTACTCAGGGCTCTGGGGGGCTGGGCAGGCATCCTTCAGGAGAAGAGGCTGGCATTGACATTTGCAGAATGGGAAGAGGGATTGTCTGAAGAGAAGCTGGTTATCTGGCTTCTGTGTTCTTTTTTAAATAAAACATTGGACTAGCTACTCTTAGGGATAAATGGTAGAAGAAAAAGTGGGGGTGAGCTTTGTGTTCCACAGGGCTGGTGAGATTTGAAATTATGGTAACATTTTTTAAGGTTCTTAAACTTAATCTTCCCTCTCCTCTCAAAGGAGAGCTTCACAAAACTCATTCATCTGAAGTTGTTAATGATCTAACACATTACATTATATAAGAAAATATGCACTATGGAGAGAACCTGGAATTAAGGCAATGCTTAACACAGATCTTCCAGTGAAGAAATGTCTGCAATATCTAGATTGGGAAAATATTTCTGAATGGAGTATGAGGGAGGTCTTCTCAGGCTTTCAAGTGGCCATTAGGGGTGAGTTTTCCCATCTTTTAGGATTTTCCAGCTATTGAAGTAAGACTTAGATATAGTCCCTACCTTCTGTGAGTGAGGCCCTAGTCTTATCAAAGGAGATCACATTCTATATTAGTGTTACCAGGGGGTCTTTGCTCCCAGAGCTCTCAAGATGGTGGTGGGCTGCTTCCAAAATGGCCGCAGGCCGCTTCCAAGATGGTGGCAAGCCTCGTGTTCTCTGACCTGGGGTTCTTGGCCTCATGGATTCCAAGGAATGGAATCTTGGGTCATGTGGTGGTTGTTACAGCTCTATTAGAAGCCATGGGTCACGGAAGAGAACCGTGGACCCAGTGACTAGTGTTCAGCTCGATTAGGAAGAACCTGGGCACTTAGCCGTGCAGAACAATGGTACGCCTTTAGCCCAATCAGGAGCGGCAATGGGCGCCTCACTGGTTCAGAAGCACAGCGGACACCCTGCCAGATCCGAGGGATGGAAGTCAGCCGCGGGTCTGCGACGGTGGCAAACGGCAGTGGTGGATGGCAAGCGAAAGCTCACCTCGAGCCGTAAGAAACATAGACCAGAAGAGTGCAGTTGCAAGATTTAGTAGAGTGAAGACAGAGCTCCCATACAAAGGGAGGGGACCCAAAGAGGGTAGCGTTGCTGGCTCGAATGCCTGTGTTTATATCCCGATCATTGTCCCTCCCGCTGTGATCTCAGGCAATAGATGATTGGCTATATCTTTACCTCCTGTTTTTGCCTAATTAGCATTTTAGTGAGCTCTCTTTACTACCTGATTGGTCAGGTGTGAGCTAAGTTGCAAGCCCCGTGTTTAAAGGTGGATGCAGTCACCTCCCCAGCTAGGCTTAGGGATTCTTAGTCGGCCTAGGAAATCCAGCTAGTCCTGTCTCTCATTAGATAGAAATAAAAACACAAGAAATATAAATTAACAAGAAACACTGAACATAGTGTCACGGTAGTATGTGAGTTATTATTATAAAGCAGTGGGATATTTGAAAAGAAACTAACAGTTCAGTGATTATGTGTCCTACCCAGGATTTCCTTCTGAAGTATTGACAGAGGGTATCCTATGGCTATGAGTATCTTCATGAGGCTGTCATATTTTGGAAATTCTCTTTGAGAGTTGTTTTTAGAGTCTGATGTACATCTTTTGAAGCCTCGTATTTACTTGTTGACATTTGACAAACTTTATCTGGATAGGAGAGGCAGGTAAATAAGGTGGAAAATCACTAATTACATTTTGAGATGGATAAAGGTATGTTTTTTACATCCATTGAAATGCACAGAAAAACGAAATGTAAAGATTGTCAACTAAAAAAAATCACACAATTCATAAATTTAGAAGGGGAGTTTATTTCTTATGAAAGGTTATAGTCTGCAAGGTAGCCATTCTGACAGGCTGGGAAGTTTTGCTTCTGATTGAAAACCAAAAGCAAGCACTTTGCAGGAGGAAAGGTGACACAGGAATTTATGCTGAAGGGGTTTGCTAAGTATACATATCCAATAGGTTATAGCAGAGGCAATGAATATTCATGGAGGGGGTCCTAATGCATGCATATTGAATAAGCTTGCATGTTACATACCACCCATGGTCACTCTGAAGTGGAGACTTAACATTTAATTGCATTACAGTTAGGCCTTATACATGAAAAGGTGAAGCAGGGACACAAAGGCATTCAAATGCACAGCTTCTGTAAACTAGCCAGAACCAGTCCATGGTCAGTGGTCTCTTATCAGGAGAAAATTACTGAAATCAGTCTTTTGTCCAATTAAAACTGTAGTTATGGCTTGTGGAACACGGGGTCAGTTAGCCTGTGTTCCCCAACACAGGGTGAGCTGTAATTGTTTTAATATTGTTCCTGTCAAGGCCAGTGCTTGTTTAGCTGCTAGAGAAAAAAGAAAAAACTTTGTGGCAGAACATAGTTTATTCTTTAAGTGTAAGGGATGCATGACTTAACTTTTGCCTGTTATAGCCCTCGGTCTTGTTTATAATTTGCTATCTTATTGCCACAAAGAATCCATTCTCTCAGTCTTATAATCTCTAACTTTGCTGGTCAGTTGTGTCTAAACTGCAAAAGGGAGAAGATACAATGAGGCATATCCAACCTCCTGTTCCATCATGACTGAATGTTTTATTTATTTATATTTTTGAGACAGAGTCTCACTCTGTTGCCCTGGCTGGAGTGCAGTAGTGCCATCTCCACTCACTGCAACCTCTGCCTCCTGGATTCAAATGATTCTCCTGCCTCAGCCTCCTGAGTAGCTGGGATTACAGGGACTTGCCACCACTACTGGCTAATTTTTGTATTTTTAGTAGAGACAGAGTTTCACCAAGTTCACCAGGCTGGTCTCGAACTCCCAGCATCAATTGATCAGCCTGCCTCAGCTTCCCAAAGTTCTGGGATTACAGGTGTAAGCCACCACCCTTGGCCCAATGACTAAGTTTTTAAAGTTTCTCTAGGGTCCCCCTGAGCAAAAGAGCGTCCGTTCAGTTGGTTGGGGGCTCAGGATTTTATTTTCCATTCTCAAGATCGAAAAAAAGGTGTGATTATAAAGGAATGGGACAAATTATCTTATTTGTGTTGTAACTTGGTAATTCCAAAAAAGAAGTTCCAAGAAAGAGAGGGACACTGGCTACTGAATAGGAGCTAGAGGACCAGATAGATAGTGGAAGAGGGGGAGCCATTGTGGTGGGGAGTAGAAGTGTAAAGGAGGCAGGCATCCTAGGTAACTGTCTTGTGGCTTTCACTTCCCAGGTGCATGTCCGTTCCGAGGAATGGGATTTAATGACCTTTGATGCCAACCCATATGACAGCGTGAAAAAAATCAAAGAACATGTCCGGTCTAAGACCAAGGTTCCTGTGCAGGACCAGGTTCTTTTGCTGGGCTCCAAGATCTTAAAGCCACGGAGAAGCCTCTCATCTTATGGCATTGACAAAGAGAAGACCATCCACCTTACCCTGAAAGTGGTGAAGCCCAGTGATGAGGAGCTGCCCTTGTTTCTTGTGGAGTCAGGTGATGAGGCAAAGAGGCACCTCCTCCAGGTGCGAAGGTCCAGCTCAGTGGCACAAGTGAAAGCAATGATCGAGACTAAGACGGGTATAATCCCTGAGACCCAGATTGTGACTTGCAATGGAAAGAGACTGGAAGATGGGAAGATGATGGCAGATTACGGCATCAGAAAGGGCAACTTACTCTTCCTGGCATGTTATTGTATTGGAGGGTGACCACCCTGGGCATGGGGTGTTGGCAGGGGTCAAAAAGCTTATTTCTTTTAATCTCTTACTCAACGAACACATCTTCTGATGATTTCCCAAAATTAATGAGAATGAGATGAGTAGAGTAAGATTTGGGTGGGATGGGTAGGATGAAGTATATTGCCCAACTCTATGTTTCTTTGATTCTAACACAATTAATTAAGTGACATGATTTTTACTAATGTATTACTGAGACTAGTAAATAAATTTTTAAGGCAAAATAGAGCATTCAAAGCCAGCTTGGAATTTAATTCTGTCTTGATACCTTGTTATTTATGCAAAAACTCCTATCTCCTTTCCTTTATGACAAGAGAGTAAGTTTTAGGTTGGGATCCATGTTCTACTGATTTCTGTATTTCTGTCTTTGTTAAGTCCAGTGCTTTATTTATATCACTCAATAATGGTTGAACCAAATTGAATTTCTACTTATAGAGCATAGTGAAATGATATTTTATAAAATGAATTAGTTGCTCTGACATGATCACAATCAAATTACTAAACATTTTAGAAACTAAATTAAACTCCTTCCCCCCTCTTCTCCTTTAAAGCTATTTGTATGAAATGAAGTCTGGCACCATGCCCCCTTTTATTCTCTATGTCTCACACCCAACTAAAATAGTTATTATTTCTGGGGATGATGGTGGGCAAGGAAAGGTATTTTCCACAGGGATCTAGCAATTCTGTTTAACTAGTGGGGATTCCTAGGGGTAGATGGACATTGGGAGCGAACAAACTTTCTAAAGCTGGGGGACTGTGGACCACCCTCTCTCCTACCTGCCTTAGGGTCTAGCAGGTCTTCTCCAGGATGAGGGCGCCAGTCTGGGTGAGGGTGGGTGAGGAGCTGGCTTCTGGGTTGACCTCAATATTCTGCTCAGGTTCTGCTGATTGAGCATTTTCCTCTCTTCTTTTTTTCATGAGGAGATCCCTGTTCCTGTCTTGAGAACTTGAGTCCCTTCCTCCATCTTCCTCCCTCCATTTACTCCTCTCTCTGACTCTCTCTCTTGCTCTCTCTCTCATGACTCACTACTGATCACCTGTGAGTTTTTTTCACGGGCTGAGACGTGCCCGCCTTCTTCCACACTCATCCTAGTTCCTTGTTTCTTTAAAACTTGCTCAAGAACCAACTCCTGCAGGGGGGTTTCCAGTCTTAACCCCACTCAGCAAAATTCACCACCATTTATGGGCTTTCCTCATCACATTTATGGGTGAAATGCCCCGGGGAGGGCACTGGTCATCTGGCCAGGTCTGCACTAAGTTGGACTGATTTCTGAGAATAGAGTCCATGGTCGCTTTTTCTGGATGTACCCTCTCCTGCAGGGTAGGGACTATGATTTTCTTGTCAACTTGAGACTTCTGATTGCAGAGACCAAGAGGTCTTCCATGGTCTTCCATCAGATAGGGAGGAAGCTAAAGGCGAGCATCACGTCCATCATTTTCCCTGCGCGTGGAGTTGTGAGGGGTAGGTTTTCCTTCCCTAAACCTGAGTATATAGAGGATTTAGGGATTTTCCCTCAAGAACTAAACATTTCCTCACGGGAGGAAAACATATCCCCCATTGGACTCCTTAGGACAAATCTTGCAGATTATCATACAAAAATGAACAGCCTGAAGTCTAAACTGACTCACTAAGGGGTATTTCCATCCTTGGGTTCTGGCTTAATACTTTCTCCCCTCCCCAACTACTCACTGCCCAGCCTGGCCTCTCCCCAGACTCCGCAGCAGCCTCCTCGCTGCCCCCTTCACTTTCTTATTCCTGAGGGTGTAGATGAGCGGGTTGAGAGCAGGTGTGACCACGGTGTAGAAGAGCGATACGAACTTGCCCCGTGCCTGGTTGTAGCGCTGCGCGGGCTGCAGGTAGGTGTAGATGGCCGAGCCGTAGAACAGGCAGACGGCTGTCAGGTGGGACCCACACGTGCCCACCGCCCTCCTCCGGCCTCCGCTGAACCGCATGCAACAGACAGCTCGGGCCACGGCACCGTAGGAGGCCAGGATGACGGCAAACGGCAGCAGCAGGATGACCACGCGGGCGGCGAACATCTGGTTCTCGGTAGTGTCTCCGTCGCCTCCGCAGGCCAGCTTGAGCAACGCCGGCAGCTCACAGATGAAGTGGTCCAGCAGGCGGGGCGCGCACAGCGGCCGCTCAGCCAGGAGCGCGGTTTGCGCAACCGAGTTGGTGAGGCCGCTTAGCCAGGAGGCGCTGGCCAGCGTGCGACATAGGCGCGGGGAGACGAGCCCCGCATAGCGCAGCGGGCGGCACACTGCGGCCGCGCGGTCCAGAGCCATCACCGCCAGGAGGACGCATTCGGCGGAACCCAGAGCCAGCGATGCGCACAGCTGGGCCGTGCAGTGGCTGCGCGGCAGCCAGAGCGCTGGTCCGCGCAGGTTGGCCAGCAGCGGCGGCACCACGCTAGTAGTGAAGCCCGCGTCTACCAAGGCCAGGTGGCAGAGGAAGTAGTACATGGGCGTGTGCAGGCGCGGGTCGCGCACCGCCAGCAGCACCAGCGCCGAGTTGCCCGTCAAGGTCAGGAGGTAGCACAGGAGGACAAGGGCGAAGAGGACCGGCTGCAGGGAAGGCCAGTCGGAGAAACCCAGCAGGAGAAAGCGCTCCTCTGCGCTGTAGTTGGCCTAAAGGAGGAAAACTCCCAGAATGTTTGGAAGGTCGAAATAAAAAAGGGTGACTACCCCTTATAAGCAAAGGGAAAACCTTGGAGTGTGGGGCTGGGCTGGGAGAAGGAATGGAATCATATACAAGGTCAGTTTGTGGATTGTAATCCCATTTACAGATGAGATTACTTAAAAATAAACTCCCTAAGAATAAGAGCAACACTCCAAGCTTGGCCTGGCCAACACTCGGTAGGCAGAATGATCACCTCCGTTGTTTCAGGTACTCTGTGTTTATTTATGCAACAGTTCATGTAAAATGGAGACGAGGCCAGAAGAATCCTTGAGCAGACAGAGCCAGTTGGGCCTCCTAAGTGACCTTAACCTTGCTTGATTTGCAAGCATGTCTGAAACTTTATTTGTGGTATTTCTTGTAAATGCCTATGTTAAAGAAACACAGAACTTAAGCTCAACCAATCAGAAGCAGCCAACAAAAACGTAATTAGTAACTAGGACTTCCTCATGGGATAGACCAAATAAGGCAACTGTATAACTGTGTAACTGTATAACTGTAACCAATGAAATATTATCTTTGCTTTTATCTATTTGTCCTAAAAAGCCTCCTCCTCATGTTCTCTCTGGGGAGCTCCCTAGCCACTTCTGGATCACTGCTCAAATAAACTCTTAAATATTTTATTGGGCCTTAGTTTACTTTCTAACACAACCCATTATACGGCTGATTACTGATTTTTAATTTGTTGTGAATAGAGACTACTCCCAACGTCCATGCCCCTCCCACTGAGGGGAGATCAGCACACGTATACTAGCCTTTAAATCAGGAATAAGTTGGGTAGAAAAAAAGAACACTTTCTGGTAGACTAGAATATCAGGACATCTTGGTTTTACCTACATAGCTCCCTTTAGCCAGTTATATGATATGGGGAAATCTTCATTTCCCTCTGTCTCAATTTTTTCATATGTAAATCAAGGAGTTTGAACTAGATGTCATCTAAGTTTCCTGTCCCAAATCCTTGGCTTTACTATCAAATATTAATCCAAAAATAAAATAAAAAGAGAACCCCAGGGAACAAAAGGAACCTCATTCTCCAAGGGTCTTGTTGAACCAAGTGTCTTAATGGTACAGAAACATATGGGTTATGTAATGGATGAAAGTTTACGTGATGGACAGAAATCTTTCTGCTGCATGACTCCTGACATAAATTATTATATGGATAACTTATTTTTCACATCATATTCACTGCTGTAAATTACAAAATCACAATAACCTAATTTTTCATTTTTCAGAGGGAAAAAACACTGCTCCCTACCAAAACATCCTGTTTGATTTTATGTTTCACTCATTTTATCCTCACTGGGCAGAATAAGCATTAATGTCATAATTAAGAACCAGGGCTCAGCAGCCAGACTGCCTGGGTTTGAGTCCTGGCTCTGCCATTTTCTAGCTGGAAAACCTTGGGTATGTTACTTAGCCTCTCTCTGCCTCAGTTTCCTCATATGAAAATAGAAATATGTTAAGTGGGCTAAATATGAAAAGCTGTTAGAACAAGGCCTGGCACATAGCAGTTGTTAACTGTCATCCTTTAATAAATGCTAACTATCGTCATATCTGTTTCCCAAATTAAGAAACAGGTTTTTAAGGGGTTCTTATGCTAGGCAGTGATACAACTGCTATGAACATTTACAGCTCTTTTCATTTATTAACTCTAATCTTAACTCACTTGAATATTAGGCAATAGCCTTATTTTATAGAGTATGTTAGGAGAGTAACTGAAGTTAAATTACTTGCCCAAGGCCACATTATTTGTAAATGCTTAATAGGTTTTCCACTTATATTTGACTAACTTCGAGGTCCTTCCTGTTTGATCAACCAGGATCCACTGTGCTAGAGACTGTGGAGTATGAAAGGACATGCAAAGTCTTACCTATATTTATAGATCATTTTATAATTTGGGGTCATATCAGAGATGAATAAAGTAGGAGAGGTGACATTCAGGCTTACAGACCAATGGTGGCTAGAGATGTTGAGTTACAAAAGGTCAAATTCTTTAATGCGGTGATTACACGGACACATAACTGTTCAGCCTGGCAAGCTCTAAACCATTCCTCTTCAAATATGCCACACCATGAAAACAGGCACACAATAATAAAACTGCACAGATAACATTCTTGTTACATGTATGCACAAATTCCCCAAAACATAGGCATGTGTGCACCTGTACACATAAACCCATCATCTCCCTCACACATCTAGAAGACAAATCTGTTGTGAAATATATAATATAATGTGTCATCAAACTTCACTTGGTATTTCAGAATGTGGCTCTCGGCACAAGACCATTTTGTTGTAGGGCACTGTAATACCCAACTTACCTTCATGACTAATCTTTGGCACTAATGTTTACACCTTGAGTTTCCAGATGATAGGTTGGTCTCTTGCTCCTGCTCTGGATTCTCTGGATTTGAAATGGAGTTGGGAGTATTTAATAAAAGATGCAATTGCATAGCTGTGTTGATTTCTGGAATGGATGCCTGAGATCAGAGCCAGGTATTTCAGGAAGAAGATGAGGGGTGGGTGTCATTGTGCTTGTAAATAGAGGAATAAAAAGAACGGGTAAGAAAGAACCTACATTTGTGAAATTTCAGGATCTAGGCAGAGGTGGTGATGTCTGTTCCTGGAGAACCTTGTAATGGGGTACAGACCAGACAAGGACCTGGGCCTTGTGCTGGTAGCAAATCAGCATTAGCTGGTGGTGGTAGCAAATATCCCTCCTGGATCTAAAGGACACAGTTAGAGAGAAGGAGGAAGCATGCTGATGAGTGCTCTCACTAGAGAAAAAACAGGGGACTCAACGTTCCCTGTTATTTAGAAGAGAGGATGGAGCTCTGGGGAATAGATGTCCCACTCCTATCATTAGTACTTTGCATGAAGGTGTCCGGAGAGGAGTCCCCAAGAGTGGGGAAGAGGAAATTCTGGAGGGAAAGTCCCTTTAGGGTAGTGTGCCTCTGGCAGTGTATGAAGGCCAAAGGCAGCGTAATTCCCTCTCATTAACATTTCTACTATTCAATTGGAACTGGTTTAGAATTTCATTCTCTGATGGAGTGACCTTAAGCTAATTGTTTAACTTCAGTGACTCTCAATGTCATCATCTGTAAAACAAGGAAAATAACCCTTTCTGTCAGGAATTTTGTAGATTTGTTGAAGTCATTATTAGTTTTGAATGTAGCTTTGACTGTTATGTCATCAGCTTTGCTCCAAAGTCCACCTCCCCACTTGTGGCTCTCATCATTCTCTTTCCCTTTGCTCCTCCTTCGTCCTTGAAGATTTTTGTCCCTGATCCCCTCTCACTCTCTCCAGTACTGTGATGATTCTTGGTGAATTCAGTATCCTCATAGATTATCTTTCTATACTTTCCTCTCAGTTTCTTCCTCAGTGAGAGGTCCGCAAATTCATCGTGGCCCCTCACGCCCCTTGTATCTTCAGTTCTCTATCAAGCTTAGACTGTCTCGTCAATCACTATTACTCCTTTGCATACATCAATGTTCCTGCCCTTTTCACTTGTTACACTCTTTCAGCTAAATTGCTTTCCTATTTAAATCCAACTATAGTCCTACTCTCTCCCTATATTTGTTCAGCTGACTGTGGCCGAAGGAAAGCCAATAGCCACACTGAGAGGTTTCACTTTACATTCATGACCACTACTTTAAGAGGAAGGGGCTAATGTCATTGATAATCATATTTTCCTAGTCCACTCACTTTCCCCTCTCCTACGTAACTCATGCATACTTTCTGGTCTCCCCTCAAATCCCCAGTACTCCTCTCTCTCAAATAATATCATCTTTCTCAGATAAAAATTTTACTTCATTTTTTACTGAAAAAATGTAAAGCAATAAAAAGAGAAGTTCTTACTAACCCACCTGTTCACCTACTTGCATCTGTGCTCACATATGGGACTCCACCTTTTCTTCTGATACTGCTAGGAATATACTATTTTGCATCTGTCTGATGCCAGTACCCCCACTTGCCCACTATATTCCATCCCTTTCCACTTATTCAGGGACATTACTCTAATCTTTCCCCTCTTTCCTGTAATATAATTTGTCCTTCCAGTGGACCATCCCCATCAATACATAAACATACTTTGATTTCACTCATCAGAAAATAATCTTCTCTTGACTTCACTTCCCCCTAGCTACCATCCAAGTCCTTGAATTCTCTTTCGGGTTGGCTCCAACAAGGTTTCTGCACTGGAAACCTTTCATCGAAGGTCACAAACTGACCTCCACATTGATATAGTAGTTTTCAGTCCTCATGTTACTTGACCTGTTAGAAGCTTTTCAATAGAGTGGACTTAGCTTTCCTTTTTGGAACATGCCTTTCACTTCTGCTATGGACTGAATTGTGTCCCCCCCCAAAATTCATATGTTGAAAATCTAATCCTCAATGTGATGGTATTTGAAATGGGCATTTTAGGAGGTAATTATAGTTAAATGAGGTCACAAAGGTGAGGGCCAAATAGGATTAGTTTCCTTATAAAAGAGGAAAGGCCACGTGAGGAGGCAGCAAGTAGGGAGTTGTCTGCAAGCCAGGAGGAGAGCCATCACCAGGAACAAAATCAGCCAGCATCTTGATCTTGAACTTCCCAGCCTCCAGAACTGTGAGAAATCAACTTCTGTTGTTGAAGCCACCCAGTTTATGGTATTTTGTTATGGCAGTCTGAGCTGACTGACAGCTTCAAATCACCAAAGTCTCCCAGCTGCTCCTTCTGAATCTCCTTTATTGGTTTCTCCTCCTCTCCCTGCTGTGCCTAGGGTTCAGTCCTCTTTCCTTTCTTACATGCACTTCCGTCATCCAGTCTTATGACATTGTACACCATCTATATGCTGATGACTCCTAAATTTATATTTCCAGGCTGGATTTTTCTCCTAACCTCCAGATTCCTATGTCCAATTGTCTACCCACCAGCAGCTTTTGGTATCTAATACACATCTCAGATTTAACATGCCATAAACTGAGCTCCTTACTACCCACCCTCTCCCCCACAATGTGCTTCTTCTGTAGCCTTTCTCATCTCCCGTAATGAAAATCCATTCTTCTAGTTTCTCAGACAAAAATCTTGTGATACTGACTCTTCTTCATCTCACTCACATATAATCTACCCACAAATTCTATTGGCTCTACCTGCAAAAATATGTTGTGAAACTGACAAGTCGTTATCACTGTTAGGACCACCACTCTGGTCTGTCCTTGTCAACATCTCTTGCTTGGATGATTGAAATAATCCTCTGGTTCTTCCCTTAACCTTTAGTATATTCTCAACATGGAAGCCAGAGTAACCCATTTATAACAACTCAGATCATACCACTTCTTATCTCAAAATCTTTCAGCAGTTTCCATGTTACTCAGAAAGAAAAAGCCTAGTCACAAGATCTAAAGATCAGTGCCCTCCACCTCAGTACTACTGACGATTTTGACTGGATCATCCTTTGTTGGGGGTGCTGTCCTGTGCATTGTAGGGTGTTTAGCACCATCTCGGGGCTCTACCCACTAGGTGATAGTAGTGCATCCTCTCTAATTGTGACAATCAAAACCAGCTCCAGACATTGCCAAATGTCCCAGTGGGAGGCCTAATTAGCCACGGTGAGAACTGCTGCTTGACTTAATCAGAAAAAATAAACCTCCTGCAGCTAGCTTGGTGTCTGCCTAAACAGCCTCCTAGTTTTGTGCTTGAAACCCAGGGCCCTGGTGGCATAGGCACCAGAGGGAATCTCCTGGTCTATAGGTTTCGAAGACGTGAGGAAAGCGCAGTATCTGTGCCAGAGTGCACCGTTCCTCCCCACACAGTCCCTCAAGGCTTCGGCTTCCCTTGGCTAGGAGAGGGAGTTCCTTGACCTCTTGTGCTCCCCGGGTGAGGCGATGCCCCACCCTGCTTTGGCACACCCTCCATGGGCTGCACCCGCTGTCCAACCAGTCCCAATAAGATGAACTGGGTACCTCAGTTGGAAATGCAGAAATCATCCACCTTCTGGGTCAATCTTGCTGGGAGGTGCAGACCAGAGCTATTCCTATTCCACCATCTTGCCAGCCTCCTCCCCTGGTATCTAGCTGTAATTTTGTATCCATGAACCAATCTCTTCCTATCCTTCCCTCTCTCCTCCCTTCGATCCTTCCTGTGCTCTAATAATCAAAATTCCACTCTCTATTTCTAATGAGCTCAACATTTTTTAGCTTCCATATGTGAGTGAGAACACACAGTCTTTATCTTTCTGTGCCTGCTTATTTCAGTTAACATGGTGTCTTCCAGGTTCATCCATGTTGCCATGAATGACAGGATTTCTTTTTTTTTTTCATGTCTCTGCCATTTAAAGGGGGTGTTTAATATATTTACATTTAATGTAATTACTGATAGTATAGGATTTTGACCTGTCATTTTGCTACTTATTTTCTTTATATCGTGTTTTTTATTGCTCTATTCCATTATTACTGCCTTTGTATGTTAAATAAATTTTGTTAGTGTTTTACTTAATTCTCCTTGTTGTTTCTTTTACTATACTTTTTGAGGTATTTTTTAAATATTGCCCTGGATCTTGCAATTAATAATTTATAACAATTTAGTCAGATTAATAGCAATTTAATTTCAATAGCACACAAAACCTTTGCTTCCATACAGCTCCATTCTCTTCTGCTTCTTTGTGTTTTTATTGCCGTACAAATTACATCTTTATACATTGTAGGCTTATCAATACAGATTTATAATTATTTCATTATGTATTTGTCTTTTAAATCATATGAGAGAGGAAATCGCAAACAAATTGCATTTATACTGTCTTTTATATTTACCCATGTAGTTATCTTTACTGGAGTTCTTCATTTCTTCATGTGGATTCGAGTTGCTATGTAGTGTCCTTTCATGTCAACCTGCAAGACTGCTTTTATAATTTCCCATAAGACAGGTCTGGTAATTACAGCTTCTCTCAGTTTTCAAAATCTGAGAATGTTTAATTTCTAGTTCATTTATGAAGAATAGTTTTGCTGGCTTTAGAATTGTTCATTGACAGTATTTTACTTTTGCTACTTTGAATATGTCATCCCATTGCCTCCTGACTCTGTAATTTTTCATGAGAAATTAGTTCTTATTCTTACTGAGAATCTCTTGTACATGATAAGTTGCTTCCCTCTTTTTGCCCTCAAGATTCTTTCTTTGCTTCTTGGCAGTTTGATTATAATGTTTCTATGTGTGAATCTCTTTGAATTTATTTTATCTAAGTTTGTTGAGCTTTGTGAAAGTGTAGATTAACATTTTTTCATTGAATTTGGAGTTTTTCAGCTAGTATTTCTTTAAATATTCCTTCTGTTCCTTTTATTCTATCCTCTCCTGAAAATTCTCGTTTATGTGTTTTGGTACACTGGATTGTGTCCCACAGGTCTCCGAAACTCTGTTCATTCTTCTTCTTTTTAATTCATGTTCCTCATACTGGATAATTTCCCCACCTATCTTTAAATTTACTGATTCTTTCTTCTGCCTTCTCAAATCTGTTATTGAGGCTATCTAGTGAAGTTTTTATTTCTACGATTTTATTTATCAATTACTGAATTTTATTTGTTTCTTTTTTTTTTTTTTTTTTTTTTTTTTTTTTTTTTTTTGAGACAGAGTCTCGCTCTGTCGCCCAGGCTGGAGTGCAGTGGCGGGATCTCGGCTCACTGCAAGCTCCGCCTCCCGGGTTCACGCCATTCTCCTGCCTCAGCCTCCCAAGTAGCTGGGACTACAGGCGCCCGCCACTACGCCCGGCTAATTTTTTGTATTTTTAGTAGAGACGGGGTTTCACCGTTTTAGCTGGGATGGTCTCGATCTCCTGAGCTCGTGATCCGCCTGCCTCGGCCTCCCAAAGTGCTGGGATTACAGGCGTGAGCCACCGCGCCCGGCCTTGTTTCTTTTTTAACATTCCATCTCATTATTGATGTTTTGTATTTGGTGAGATATCATTCTCATGCATTCCTTTAGTTCTTTTGACATGGTTTCCTTTAGTTCTTTGAACGTGTTTAAAATTGTTCGTCTAATATGTTCACCTAGTATGTCCAATGTCTGGTATATGCAGTCTACCAGAGGCAGTTTTGATTTTAAAATGAATAGGTTAAAAAAAGAGGGTGGAAAAAAGTATACCATGTAGAAAACTATGATGAAAGAGCTGAGACAGCTCTACTAATATTGGACAAAGTAGACCTTGAGAAAAATAGCGTTACTAGAAATAAAGAGGCATATTCTATAATGATAAAATTTCAATTTATCAGGAGGATATGAGGATTATAAACATACACACAATTAGCAACACATCCCCCAAATACATAAAACATGAAAATGACAGAATTGAGGGGATAAATAAACAAATCATTAAAAATAGTTGAAGATTTCAACACTCCATTATCAATCATTGATGGAACAACTAGATAGAAAATCAGCAAGGATACAGAGCCTGAAACATTATCAACCAACTTGACCTACTTGACAACAACAAATGAATTATACACGCTTTTGAAACACATATGGAACATTCTCCAGGATAGACTAGATGGGAGGGCACAAATTATCTATAAATTAAAAAAAAATTGAACTAATACAATATATGTATTCCAACCACAATGGAATTGAATGAGTAATCACCAACAGTTGGAAACTTCAGGAATCCACAAATAACAGGTGAAAGAAAAAAAAACACAGGGGAAATTAAAAAGAATATGCATGAAATGAAATGAAACCATAACATGTCAACATTTATGAGATGGAGATAAACCAGTGCTTAGAGGAAAATCTGTAGCTGTAAATGCCTACATTGGAAAAGAAAAATACCTCTAATCAGTAATTCAACTTTCTATGGTAAGAAGCAAGGAAAAGAAGAGAAAACTAACCCCAAAGCAAGCAGAAGAAAGGAAATAATAAAGAAGAGAGCAAGAGTAGATGGAATAGAAAATAAAACACTATAGAGAAAAGTAATGAAACCAAAAGTTGAATCATGGAAAATAACAACACAATTGACAAACCTTTAGCTAGACTTACCAAGAAAAAAAAATGGCCTCAAATTCCTAAAATCAGAAATGAAATTGGGCACATCATTACCAACTTTATAGAAATTTAAAGGATTATAAAGAAATCCTATGAACAACTTTATC
This sequence comes from Homo sapiens, assembly GCF_000001405.40. Taxonomy (NCBI): domain Eukaryota; kingdom Metazoa; phylum Chordata; class Mammalia; order Primates; family Hominidae; genus Homo; species Homo sapiens. Next base: position 809,607 of record NT_167245.2, on the reverse strand, counting down.
CTAACATACTAGACACCTTCGATGAAATGGATAAATTTCTAGAAAAACTAATTACCAAAATTGACTCAAGAGGAAATAGAAAATCTGTATAAGCCTACAAGAAGTAAAGACATTAAAACTGTCATTGCATATCTTCCCACAAAAAAGGCCCAGGCCCAGATGTCTCTACTGGTGAATTCTACCAAACATTTAAAGAAAAAAATAATACAATTCTATACAAACTCTTCCAAAATATAGATCAGAAAGGATCACTTCCCAACACATTGTATAGGAATGATGGAAATGTTGTAAAATCATATTCTAGTGAGTATGTACTTTTGTACATAAGGAAGTTAAGAGACACAGGGCCCCATTTGTGATCCTTTGGGAGTGTGAGAAGCACATATTTCCTACACCCATGTTCCCATTTGGAAGGGCTTCTCTGACCAGCATCAGCCACAAG